>NW_017852928.1:0-300000 GCF_000001405.40 Homo sapiens | reverse complement strand
GTGTTTATAACATTCTCTGATGGCAGTTTGTATTTCTGTGGGGTCCATGGTGATATCCCCCTTATCACTCTTTATTGTGTCTATTTGATTGTTCTCTCTTTTCTTCTTTATTAGTCTGGCTACTATTCTATCTACTTTGTTAATCTTTTCAAAAAACAGCTCCTGGATTCATTGATTTTTTGAAGAGTTTTTTGTGTCTCTATCTCCTTCAGTTCTGCTCTGATCTTAATTATTTCTTCTCTTCTGCTAGCTTTTGAATTTGTTTGCTCTTGCTTCTTTAGGATCCCCTATTTAATAAATGCTGCTGGAAAAACTGGCTAACCATATGCAGAAAACTCAAACTGTTACACCTTATACAAAAATTAACTCAAGATGGATTAAAGACTTAAACGTAAAACCTAAAATCATAAAAACCCTAGAAGAAAACCTGGGTAATACCATTCAGGACATAGGCATGAGCAAAGACTTTATGACTGAAACACTAAAAGCAATTGCAACGAAAGGCTAAATTTACAAATGGGATCTCATTAAACTAAAGATCTTCTGCTCAGCAAAAGAAACTATCATCAGAGTGAGCAGGCAACCTACAGAATAGGAGAAAACTTTTGAAATCTATCCATCTGACAAAGGTCTAATATCCAGAATCTACAAGGAACTTAAACAAATTTACAAGAAAAAAACAACCACATCAAAAACTGGGCAAAGGATATAAACAGACACTTCTCAAAATAAGACATTTATGCTGCCAACAAAGATATGAAAACAAGCTCATCCTCACTGATCATTAGAGAAATGCAAATCAAAACCACAATGAGATAGCATCTCACGCCAGTTAGAATGGAGATCATTAAAAAATCAGAAAACAACATGCTGGAGAGGATGTGAAGAAACAGGAACGCTTTTACACTGTTGGTGGGACTGTAAATTAGTTCAACCATTGCAGAAGACAGTGTGGAGATTCCTCAAGGGTCTAGAAGCAGAAATACCATTTGACACATCAATCTCATTACTGGGTATATACCCATGCACACGTATGTTTATTGCAGCACGGTTCACAATAGCAAAGACTTGGAATCAACCCAAATGCCCACCAATGATAGACTGGATAAAGAAAATGTGGCACATATACACCATGGAATACTATGCAGCCATAAAAAATAATGAGTTCATGTCCTTTGCAGGGACATAGACGAATCTGGAAACCATCATTCTCAGCAAACTAACACAGGAACAGAAAACCAATCACCACATGTTCTCACTCATAAGTGGAAGCTGAACAATGAGAACACATGGACACAGGGAGGGAAACATCACACACCAGGGCCTGTCAGGGGGTGGGGGGCAAGGAGGGGGAGAGCATTAGGACAAATACCTAATGCATGCAGGGCTTAAAACCCAGGTAATGGGTTGATGGGTGCAGCAAACCACCATGGCACATGTATACCTGTGTAACAAACCTGCACATTCTGCACATGTATCCCAGAAATTGAAGCATAATAAATAAATAAATAAATAAAATGAATAAATTTTTTTAAAGATAAGAAAAATCAGTGAGGGAAGGGGGACAAAGAGGAAGTATTTACTTTACCAGGTCAGTATTATACTACACAACCATAGTCATAAAGACAGTTCAATATTGGCATTAAAAAAGAAAACAATGGAACAGAAAAGGAAGCTCAAGAAAATATCCAAGTATTTATGGAAGCTTGATGTGTGAGAAAGGTGGCATCACAAATGAATGTGAAAAGAATTCAATGTTTAGTAGGGTATACTGGGAAAATTCCCTCTACATATAAAAATAATAAAATCAGAGCCCTGCTTTTAATCATGTAGAAATGTGAACTAACAGATGCATTAAAGGCCTAAATGTAAAAGCAGAAACCATAGAACTAATAGAAGATACAGAACGTCTTTGTGACCAAGAGGTAGGAAAGTACTTCTTAATAAGATACCAAAATTGTAAACCATTACATATTTTGTGGATTTACTCACCAAAAATCAAATATTTCTGTTCAACCAGGAATATCATGGACAAAACAAAGAAACAACAGACAAATGGCATACTAGAAAAAATATGTGCACGTCAAAGTACAACAAAGATTACTATCTAAGATAAATATGTAACTCTTATGAAACATTAGGGACATGATAGAAAATCCATAAAAAACTAGATAAAGCATATAAACAGACAATTCATAGAAAAGAACATGTGAATGTCTAATATTCCTATGAAGAGATGTTCAAAATGTACTAGGAATCAAGGAAATGCAGGTTAAAACAATGAAATTCTACTTTATGCCCAACAGAACAGCAAATGCTATAAAACTGAATAATACCAAGTAATAAACAATACATAAAGAAATGGGAACCTTCATACATTGCTGGCAGGAGTGTGAATTGCTACGGCTAGCCATTCTGGAAAAAAATTACGGCAATATTTCATGAAATTAAAACAAAATTGAAACTGGATACCTTAGTAGTTGTAAAAGGTACAAATGCACATTCCCTATGATGGAAAACTGGGTGAAATTCTCTAAGGTACATAAAATGAAAGCATTTTTTATGGGTGAAGTTGGAGAAAAAACTAGATGTCCATTTCTTGGGGAATAGACAAGGAAGAAGTGATAAGTGCATACTATGAGTATGTTAGGAGCAATAAATTAGATAAGCATATAACATCAAGGACAAATCATAAAGTCAGAAATCAGATGTGGTCTCTAGCACAATACTAGCTATACAAATCAAAAACACATGTGTGAAACAATACTACATGCTCCCTAAGAATATGCAAATATATAAATCCAAGAACACAGATGAAACATATCAGATAGAATAAGTGCCTATCGTAACAACTAACATTTATTGAACACTTATGTGCTTAGCCCTGTTTTAAGTCTACTAACTAATGTACTAATTTAATTCTCAAAACATTTATCATTTTTATCCCTACTGTATAACTGAGGAAAATGATGCACAGAGAGGTTGATAGAGCAAGTGGGTGGTAGATGTGGAATTCAAGCCTAGGCAGTCCAGAGCCTGTGCTCTTTGCTTCCCCTATGTTCTCTGTGGAGAGGAGGCAAAAACTCAGGAGGGTAAATGAGAATAGTATGCCATGAATAAATAATTAACCCCCACACCTGAGATCTGCTAAAGGAAACAAAGTCTTCAATTACAGGATCTCCTTATTACAACTCCAAGTCAAGGGCTTATATAAAATGAGCAGGCAGATTATTAAATATTTGACCCTTTCTGGTTCTAAAATTTTCAAATCCTAATATTTGACTTTATGTTTTCTATGATAGAAGACCCAATCAGATACAGCATATCTGTGAAAAAAGAAAAATATATTATTTTTCACTTTTCTAGGGCAATCTAAATACTATGTCATAGAAATTAATTCTTAACACAAAGTAGGCACTTTCAGCAGGTAGATTATGATTTTAAGTTCTAGATTTTGGCAAACAAAGAAACTGGTTGCTCTGTTTATACACACAATACTAATACCACTAGCTAAATTAGCAGAACATTATTAGGGGGGAAATATTGTAACTTTAGCCCCTGAGGCTGCAAGTATTGTAGGGGTTATGTTATCATAACAGCTATGACATTTAGAGCAAAATAAAAACAAAGTAAAATACAAAGTAATCTTACAGTAGAATGCTTCCAGAAATGAATCATTTCAGTGATATTTGTTGCAGGATGCAGTAAAAAGTAGTACTTCCATTCATCCCAGTCTACTGTCATTGATCCATCACTATCCATGCTGAAATTTAAAAAAAAAGAAAATAGTACTTGTAACATTTATATCAAAGTTAGCACCACTATAAAAATAAATACTTCTTAAATATTTATTGTTGGAGTCACTCCTTTGGACTTTGTGAAATGACTGTATTTTCATATTGTTATTTAAGTGGACTTTATTTTTTAAGTAGTTTCAGATTTTCAGAAAAATTGAGACGATAACACAGAGAGTCCCATATGTCCCCACACTCAGTTTCCCCATTGGTAACATTTCACATTATTATTGTTATAATTAATGAACCAATATAGCTACATTATTATTCACTAAAGTCCATACTTTATTCAGAGTTTCTTAGCTTTTAACTAATGTCCTCTTTTTGTTTTAGGATCCCAGCTGAAATGGCACATTCTATTTGTCATCACATCTCCTTAGGCTCCTCTTGGCTATGATAGTTTCTCTTTCCCTGTTTTTGATAACCTTGATAGCTTCAAGGAGTGCTGATCAGGTAATTGGCAGAATGCCCCTCTAGTGGAATTTATTCCATATTGCTTTTTAATTATTTACTTGTATGTATTTCTCCCATATTTTCCTATGATGTTTTGAAGGGAAAGACCAAGTCATCTGTGTATCTCCAACACTTAGCATTCAATAAATATCTGTTGAGTGAATAAATAAATGGGTGAAAAGTGAATAAAACTGATTGAAGGGTAATTTTATGTCTTTTGGCTCTTCAAATATTATTTTTACTTCTTATCCTCTTCTCCCTATTTATAGCTTTTTAATCAAGTTTAAAACAACCTTTTATTTATGAATTTAAAGAGAAGACTCACTTTTTACCATGGAAAATTTAGGATTTACTCAATTTTTAAGCCT
Source organism: Homo sapiens (assembly GCF_000001405.40). NCBI lineage: Eukaryota > Metazoa > Chordata > Mammalia > Primates > Hominidae > Homo > Homo sapiens. The sequence continues at coordinate 295,385 of NW_017852928.1, read as the reverse complement.
CTCAATTTTTTTTAAAAAAGGATCAGAAGTTGTTTCATTGTGTCTGACTAAAAGGTGGAATTAGTGAAATGCTTTTTAAGTAGCATTCTTGTAAATACAAATTCTAAAAAACAAATTCCATCCTGCCAACGAAAAGATTAGTACAATTTCCAGTTCTAGCCAAGACAAAATAGTGGCTATAGAACTTAGATTGCCACTGTAAACCAATCTGAAACTGGACACAATATATGAAAAATTGTTTTCAGGCATTGGTCTACAAACAGGACAGGGTTGTGATACTTAGAGAAGGAAACCGAGAAGTTGAGCTCTCCACTGATTCTCGTTTCCTGCTGGGGACACTCCAAATTGTAGCATAGATAAGTAGAAGCCTAAATAAAGAACAGGTGGGTAGAATAAACAAAGATTGGAGCTCAGGGCTGCTGAGAGGGCAGGATTTTCAGGTCAAATTTTGGACAGTGTTCCAGAAACTATACCGGTAACCTTGAATCTTTGGCTGAATACTAAGCTACACTTGACTCCATCAGCCTGACAAAAATAGCTGCTGGAGGACTGTGAGTTTATAGAAATTCAGTAGCTGAGCAATATTGGAGTCCAAAAAATAAAGCAAAGATGGAAGTGAGGGCAAGAAACATTACATACAGGAGGAACTGAAAAAAGCAACCACTGACATCAGAGTCAGCTCTTGATAGCAGACACCTTTTTTTTTTTTTTGAGACAGAGTTTGGCTCTTGTCGCCAAGCCCAAGCTGGAGTACAGTGGCACAATCTTGGCTCACTGTAACCTCCACCTCACAGGTTCAAGCGATTCTCCTGCCTCAGCCTCCTGAGTAGCTGAGATTACAGGCACCCGCCACCACACCCAGCTAATTTTTGTATTTTTAGTAGAGACAGGGTTTCACCATGTTGGCCAGGCTGGTTTTGAACTCTTGACCTCAGGTAATCCACCTGCCTCGGCCTCCCAAAGTGCTGGGATTACAGGCATGAGCCTCTGCTCCTGGCCGATAGTAGACATCTTTAGTGATAACTTCAAAGTGCTGAAAGAAAAAAAACTGTCAACCTAGAATGCAATTGCAATAAAAATAACCTTCAAAAATGAAGGTGATATAAAGACATTTTCAGGTAAACTAAATATTCCCTACAAAATTCACCTGTGGGCAATGTGCACCGCTTCAATCTGCTTTGCCTTATGACACTACATTGTAATCATCTGGAATTATCTACTAGCCTGAAACCCTCAAGTGGGGACTTTGGCTTGTTCACAACTGCATCTTTTGTAGCTGGAGCTATGACTGACATTTATAAAAGTTCTATAAATAAATTTTGAATAAATCATTGAGATCAGGAATTCATAATTTATCTTAGAGTATGATTCAGCAGGGTATTTCCAATTTTCCAAAAACAGTATAGCAACATATAAGTTTGTGAGTAAAGGCTTATAAAATATCACTTGTCATATCAATGAAAAAATCCATAGATTGACAACACTCCCAAGTTTTTATCAAACTTGTCCTGTTATTTCTTTTTTTAAAAAAGCTTTTTTTAATTTTAAGAAAGCTTATTTCTTGTTTAATTACTTATGAATACAGAACATATTCTGTATGATTCCAGTTCTTTATTAAAATCTTTTGCATTTCCTTTATGACCCAATGTATGGGCAATTCTTATAAACGCCCTATGTGTGCTTTAGGAAACACATATTCTTCAGTTTTTGAGTGCAATATTCTATGTATGTTTGCCAGGTAAAGGTTAGTGATGGTATTGCTATATTTAATCTTTAATGGTTAAATCTATACAAATTAGGAACTAGCTTGGGTCCCAAGACAGCTAGTCTTTCTGCCCAGCCTCAGAGGCTCCCAGTGACCCCAACCAGGCAGGGAGATGCCTACCTCTACCCATTTCAAAGAAGCAAAGGGACACGACCAGCTTGACTACGTAAGTCAAGCAGCAGCCATACCCTACCAAAAGCCCATCCCATGGATTCACCCTTAAAGGGAAATAATCCTCAATCATGCATTTCTAAGGAGCATTGCCCCTAGTCCCACCTATCACGAGCAGCAACTCTGCTTAAACTCAGAGCCCAGCTTATGGTCCTGCCCAACTAAAGAACCCAAATAGTGAAATTGTTCATTAAAAAAATACACTGTGACTGGCCTGACCAGAAGCCATCACAGTACTGCCTGATAGCAGAGCCCAGCCAGTGGTCTCATCAGATAGTGCAGCCCAGCCAGTATCTGATACCAGATGTTGATATCAGATGACATCAGAGCAAAGGCAGCATCTCAGCCAACTAGAGAACCCACAACAAGTTCTGCCTGCCAGGGGTCATCACCAGCTGGTCCTTCCAGAATCACAGGCTGGACTAAATAGTGAAGATTTATCCCTGCCTCAAAACAACTTTAAAGGACAGAAGAGAGGCTGCCTTGCAAATATGCAGATAACAATACAAGAACACAAGGATTACAGAAAATCAAGGAATCATAACACCTCCAAAAGAAAGTAATAAAGTGCCAATGATAGACCCCAAAGAAAAGGAGATCTATGAAATTACTGACAAAGAATTCAAAATAATCCTCTAAAAGATCAACATAAAAGTATACAAATATAACATTTAATGAAATTTGGCAAAACAATACACAAAGTGAGAAGCTCAACGATGAAATAAAAACATTAAAAAGAATCAAGTAGAAATCCTAGAGATGAAGAATACAATGACTGGACTGAAAAATTCGGTAAAAATTATTAACCACAGATTCTATCTTTCTTCTGATAGAATCAATGGGCCAAAAAATAGAAAATTTGAAATTATCCAGTCAGAGGAACAAAAAGACAAAAGACTGAAAAAGAATGAAGAAAACCTACAGGAACTATGGGATACCATCAAAAGATCAAACCTGGCCAGGTGTGGTGGCTCACACCTGTAATCCCAGCACTTTGGGAGGCCAAGGCGGGTGGATCACGAGGTCAGGAGATTGAGACCATCCTGGCTACCACGGTAAAACCCTGTCTCTACTAAAAATACTAAAAAATTAGTTGGGCATGGTGGTGGGTGCCTGTAGTCCCAGCTACTTGGGAGGCTGAGGCAGGAGAATGGTGTGAACCCAGAGGCAGAGTTTGCAGTGAGCCAAGATCGCACCACTGCACTCCAGTATGGGCGACACAGCGAGACTCTGTCTCAAAAAAAAAAAAAAAAAAAAAAAAAAAATCAAACCTTTGCATAATAGGATAAAGGGCAAGAACATGTATTTAAAGATACATTGGCTAAAGACTTCCCTAATTGGGGATAGATGCCAACATCCAGATATAGGAAACACAGAGATGTTCAATCAAATTCAACTCAAAGAAGAGTTCACCAAGACACATAGTAATCAAACCACCAAAAATCAAAGACAAAAAATTCTGAGAGCAGCAAAAGATAAGAAACATATCACGTAAAAAGGAGTGCCAATACAACTATCAGTAGATTTCTCAGCAGAAACCCTACAGGCCAGGAGACAGTGAGATGATACATTCAAAGTGCTAAAGAAAAAAAAAACTGCCAACCAAGAATACTTTATCTGCAAAACTGTCATTCAGAAATGAGGCATAAAAACTTTCCCAGAAAAAAGCTAAGGGAGTTCATTATCATGAGACCTGCTTTGCAAGGATTGCTAAAGGGAGTTATTTAAGCTGAAACAAAAGGCTGGTAATTAATGACACGAAACAAATGAAAGCACTAAGCTAAATGGTGTAAGTAACACAGATACATATTTAGAATATTCTGGGAATGTAATGGTGACAAAGCAATTTTATCCCTGGTGCAAGGGTTAAAAGAAAACTATTAATAACTGTAGCTAAAATAAATTGTCGAAAGAAACACATTATAAAATGACATAAATTCTGACATCAAAAGCATAAAATATGGGGAAGGGGCCATAAAAGTACTTTGCTATGTACAAAGTTGAGTTGTTATCAGCTTGAAATAGGCTATTACAAGTATAAGATGCTCTATGTAGGCCTCATGGTAACCACAAATCAAAAATCTTTAGCAGAAGGACAAAACAAAAATAGAAAGCATTCAAAGCATTCCACTACAGAAAAATATCAAACAATAAAGGAAGATAGCAAGAGAAGGAGAGAGAAACAAAGTATCTACAAAACAAGCAGAAAACAATTCACAAAATGGTAGTATTAAGTCCTTACCTATCAAAAATTACCTCGAATGTAAATGTATTAAATAACTGAATAGAAAGATATAGAGTGATAAATGGATTTTAAACGTCCTGTTTTTTTTAAAGAAATTTTTTAAATCGAATGCTGTGTACAAAAGACTCTTCTTACTTTTTTTTTTTTTTTTTTTTTTTTTTTGAGACGGAGTCTCGCTCTGTCGCCCAGGCTGGAGTGCAGTGGCGGGATCTCGGCTCACTGCAAGCTCCGCCTCCCGGGTTCACGCCATTCTCCTGCCTCAGCCTCCCGAGTAGCTGGGACTACAGGCGCCCGCCACTACGCCCGGCTAATTTTTTGTATTTTTAGTAGAGACGGGGTTTCACCGTTTTAGCCGGGATGGTCTCGATCTCCTGACCTCGTGATCCGCCCGCCTCGGCCTCCCAAAGTGCTGGGATTACAGGCGTGAGCCACCGCGCCCGGCCGACTCTTCTTACTTTTAAGGACACATATAATTGAAACTATTTTGGAAAACAAGAGAGCAGGGATAGCTAAACTTATTTAAGACAAAATAGATTTTAAGTCAAAAATTGTAAAAAGAGACAAAGTAACACATTATATAATGACACAGGACTCAATTCATCAAGAGAACAGAACAGCTATAAATATGTACTCACCCAACACTAGACCATGATTTATAAATTATAGGATCTGGAGGGAGAGATATTGCAATATGATAATACTCAGGAGCTTCAATACCCCAGTTTCAACAATGGATATCTAATCTAGAAAGAAAATTAGTAAGGAAAGATTGGACTTGACCAACATTTTCAACCAAATGAACCTAACAGACAAATATGAAACCTTTCATCCAACAGAAACAGAATACACATACTTCTCAAGGGCACACAGAACATTTTCCAAGACAGATCATGTTAGGGCACAAAACAAGCCTCAGCAAATGTAAGAAGACTGAAATAGTATCAAATCTCTTCTGACCAAAATGCCATTAAACCAGAAATAAATAGCAACAGGAATTTTGGAAAATTCACAGATCCATAGAAACTGAACAGGCCCTAAACAACAAACGAGTCAATGAAGAAATTAAAAGGAAAATTTTAAAAATATCTTGAAACAAACTAAAATGGAAATACAACATACCAAAACTTGTGGGATACAGCAAAAGCAGTTCTAAAAGTGAAATTTACAGCAATAAATCCCTAGATAAAAAAAGAAGAAACATCTCAAATAATTAACCTAATGTTACACCTAAAGGAACTAGAAAAAGAACAAACTAAGTGAAAAGTTAGCAAAGAAAAAAAAAGAAATATTAAAAATCAAAGCAGAAATAAATGAAAGGCCAGGCGTGGTGGCTCACCCCTATAATCCTAGCACTTTGGGAGGCTGAAGCAGGCAGATCACTTGAGGTAAGGAGTGCAAGACCAGCCTGGCCAACATTGTGAAACCCTGTCTCTACTAAAAATACAAAAATTACCTGGTGTGGTGGCACACGCCTGTCATCCCAGCTACTCAGGAGGCAGAGGCAGGAGAATCACTTGAACCCGCGAGGTGGAGGTTGCAGTGAGTCGAGGTCACACCACTATCCACCACTTTCCCTCTGATGCATCACTAATTACTTTAAACCTAAGTGGATTAAACTCTCCAACCAAAAGATAGAGATTAGCAGAAAAATGAGAAAATGGTCCAACTATCTGCTGTTTATAAGAAACTCACTTAAGAGCCAAAGACACAAATACATTGAAAGTAAAAGAATGAAAAAAAATTCCATGCAAATGGTAACCAAAAGAGACCACTGATAGCTATACTAATATGAGATAAAACAGACTTTAAACTAAAAAAAAAAAAATGAGATAAAGGACATTATATAATGATAAAAGTTTCAATACATCAAGAAGATACAATAATTACAAATATTTTTTGCATATAACAGGCCATCAAAACATATAAAGCAAAAATTGGAAGAATAGAAGGGAGAAATAGTTAGTTCTACAATATTAGTTGAAGAATTCAATACCCCAAACTGAATAATGAATAGAATAACCAAACAGAAGATAAGTAAGGAAACAGAGAATTTGAACACCATAAACCATCTAGATCTAACAGGCATATACAGAATATACTATACAACAGGAAAAAAATACACACTCTTCTCAGTAACACAGAGGACATTCTCCAGAAAAGATCATACTCTAGGTCACAAAACAAGTCTTAATAAATTTTAAAAGACTGAAATCATGCCAAGTATCTTTTCTTACCACAGTGGATGAAACCGGAAATCAATGACAAAATTAAAACTGGAAAGTTCATAAATGGGTAGAAATTAAATAACACACTCTTGAAAAACTATGGGTCAAAGAAAAAATAAGAAAAATTAGAAAATATCTTTAGACAAATGAAATCAAAAGTACAAGATACCAAAACTTACGAGATATGGCAAAAAGCTGTACTAAGAGAGAAGTTTACAGAGATAAATGCTTACATTTAAAAACAACAAAAAAAAGAATAAAGATCTCAAATCAGCAACCTAACTTTACAACTTAAGGAACTAAAAAAAAAGAGCAAATTAAATCCAAAACTAGCAGGCAGAAAAAATAAAGATTAGAACAGATATAGATGAAATGAGAAAAGAAATATAATAGAGAAAAACAACTAAATCATAAGTTAGTTCCTCAAAAAGATCAACAAAATCGGCAAACCTTTAGGTGGATGGACTAAGAAAAAAGAAAGAAACAAGAGTCAAATTACTAACATCAGAAATGAAAGTGGGGACATAACTACTGATTCTATGGATATAAAAACGATTATAAGAGAGTACAATACACTATATGCCAACAAATTGGTTACCCTGGATGAAATAGAAAATTCCTAGAAACACAAAACCTACCAAGACTAAATTATGAAGAAATAGAAAATCTGAATAGTCTATAACTAATGAGGAGGTTGAATCAGTAATCAAGAATCTCCCAATTAAAAAAAAAAAAAGAAAAGCCCAGGATCTGATAGCTTCACTGCTAAATTCTATGATTTAAAAACTAACCCCACTACTTCTCAAACATTTCCAAATAAACTTTTAAAATTTGATTCATCCTATGAGGCCAGTATATACCCTATGAGGCCTATGAGGCCCAATACCAAAGCCATACAAAGACACTACAAGAAAAGAAAATTACAGACCAATGTCTCTCATGAACACTAATACAAGAATCCTCCAAAAAAATGATAGCAAACTGAATTTATTAGGTTAAAAAGGTTATACACCATCCTCAAGTGATATTTATTCCTGGAATACAAGGAGGGTTCAACATTTTAAAAAATCAATCAGTGTAATACATAACATTAACAGAATGATGGCAAAAAACACAAACATCGCAATTGATGCAGTAAAAGCATTTGACAAAAGTCAACAACCTTTCATGATAAAAGCACTCAACAAACTAGGAATACAAGAAAACTATCCTCAATATGATAAAAATCGTATGTGAAAAACCTACAATGAACATCATACACAATAGTGAAAGACTAAAAGCTTTTTTCTCTAAGATTAGAAATAGGCAAGTATGCCCACTTTCATCACTTCATTCAACGTAGTACTGGAAGTTCTAATCAGAGCAATTAGGTTAGAAAAAGAAATAAAAGCCATCCAATTTGGAAAGCAAGAAGTAAAATTATCCCTTTTTCAGATGATATGACTTTATATTTAGAAAATCCTAAAGACCCACCCCCCCCACACACACACAAAATGTTAGAATAAACAAATTCAGCAAAGTGGCAAGATGCAAAGTCAACACAAAAAAATCAGTTGCATTTCTATACCTATATGCTAACAATAATTAATCCGAAAAGGAAATTAAGGAAACAATGCCATTAAAGCATCAAAAGAATAAAGCACTTAGGAATTAACCTAACCAAGAAGGTAAAAGACTTATGCAATGAAAACTATAACACATTTCTGAAACAAATTAAAGAAAACATAAATAAATGGAAAGATGTCCCACGTTCATGGGCTGGAAGACTTAATATTGTTAAGATGTCTATACTACCCAAAACAATTTACAGATTCAGTGCAATCCCTACCAAAATCCCAATGATGAATTTGCAGAAGTAGAAAAACCCATACTAAAATTCACATGGAATCTCAAGGGACCCCAAATAGCCAAAACAATTCTGAAAAAGAAGAACAAAGCAGGAGGACTCACTTCTTGATTTCAAAACTTACTGCAAAACAAGAGTGATTAAAACAGTGTGCTACTAACATAAAGACAGAAATATACACCAGTGGAATAGAATAGAGAGCCAAGAAATAAACACTTAGGCATATGTGCTCAAATAATTTTTGACAACAGTGCAAAGACCATTCAATAGGGAAAAGACAGTTTTTTCAACAAATGAAGCTGGGAAAACTGAATATCTGCATGCAAAAGAATGACATTGGACCCTTAATTAACACCCTATTAAAAATTAATTCAAAAAGGATCTATGACCTACATGTAACTCTTAAAATTATGAAACTTTAGAGAAGACGACACAGGGCAAAATCTTCTCGACAATGGATTTGGCATTGATTTCTTAGACATGACATCAAAGGTACAGGCAACCAAAACACGACAAATTGGACTTCATGAAAATTTAAAACTTTGTGCATCAAAAGTAAAAAGGAGACTCATAAAACGGAAGTAAACATTTGCAAATCATATATATAATAAGGGGTTCATATACAAACTATACAGAAAACTCCTAAAAATCAACAACAAAAAAAAACCTAATTTGAAAATGAACAAAGAACTTGGACATTTCTCCAAAGAAGTTATACAAATGGCTACTAAGCACATGTAAAGATGCCCAGCATCACTAAAGAGGAGTCCAGATGGTTTGGACTTCTAGCAACAACCAAAAAAAAAAAAATCTCACCAATAAAGAGCTTTACAGTCTTCAGACCTAACTCCTAAAATTCAATAGGAGTTATATCTGAAGACTGCTAAGCATTGACAGAAAATAAATAAAATAATTTTTTTCTCTTGATATTCTGAAACTTCCATCTAAATAGTTTAAAAATAATCAAGTCAAGACTGGCCTAGAGAAGGAAGGTATTCCTAATTTAGATGAGGTTCTAAAACAATCAGCTGAAGTGTACACCCATGGATCAAAGTCTGACTTCCCCTAGACCTTGGTGTGGATGTCAGAAAGAGAATAGCTCTGGGGCTCTTATCTGTGCCTGTCGTTTGGAGACGACCCTGAAGCACACTGCCCTGGGCAGAGAAACCCCTAAGAAAAGAGATGTTCCTTTACTTCTGCACAAAGGCTAACATGGCGCCTGACGTTGTGTGCTGGTTCCATAAATTTTGAACGAGTCACCAGAAACAGCATCTCCCCAAAAGCCCCCTGAAGGTCTTTGTCACTACGGAAAGTGGCTTTTTTTTTTTTTTTTTTTTTTTTTTGAGATGGAATCTCGCTCTGTCGCCTGGGCTGGAGCGCAATGGTGCTATCTCGGCTCACTGCAACTTCCGCCTTCCGGGTTCAAGCGATTTTCCTGCCTCAGCCTCCGGAGTAGCTGGGATTACAGGCGCGCGCCACCACGCTCGGCTAATTTTTGTATTTGTTTAGTAGAGACGGGGGTTTCACCATGTTGGCCAGGCTGGTCTCGAATGCCTGACCTCAGGCGATCCACCCGCCTGGGCCTCCCAAAGTGCTGAGATTACAGGCGTGAGACACCGCGCCCGGCCGGAAAGTGGCTATTTTAAGAAGATTGAGAACATGTTTCGTTGGGTCGCATTATTCTGCGTGACGAGGCTCACAGAGGAGAACCCCACCCTTACTCCAAAGGCCTTTGAAAGCAGCTCTGGAAAGGGCAGGGTTTGCTTCTCCCTCTGCCCAACGTCTCCCCAGGCTGCCTGTGCCACCTTCCGGTCTCACCTCCTCGGAGTTGGGGTCAAACGCGGAGCTCCAGTTTCTCAGCCCCTCCTGGAGCTCAATGATGTCCACCACGCCGTCCCCATTGCAATCCAGGTCTTCGAAGAGGATCCCGTAGCGTAAGTAGTCATCGTTATCCTGGCAGGCCACCGCCTCCAGCACGAAGCCCTGCATCCAGAGCAGCATGGCTGGGTCCAGAGGCTGCGGGGACCACTCGGCCACCCAGCCAGCACCGCAGCACTCGCCGCCGCCTCCTCGACGCCTGGCTGCGCAAGGCAGGGGGTCCCGGCCGTCCGCCAGCTTCTGCAACTGTCTAGCGGAGCCGCCGCAGTTCGGAGCCCACGCGGGCCAAGCCACCCGCGCCTGCGGGCTCTTGGGCGCCACGGAAAGGCTGCGCCACCTTGTGGGACCTCTGGCCGAGGCGCCACGCGACAGTTGAGACGCCAGATGTGAGTTGAGGTGCCAGACGTGGCGGCGTTGGGTACCCAGGACCCTCGGACGGGTAGGTCGACGGGGGAACCAAGGGACGTTTGGGGAAAGGGAGCGCATTCCCCAGCAGGCTTGAAAGGGCACTCGCGGGTGTTTAAGATTCTCGCGGTACAGACTCAGTTCCTGCCGGAAGTCACTGCTGCGGGAGATGTGGCATGGAGTGAGCTGCTCAGACTCGCTCTTATGCCAGCATCCAGTACTCTGGTGCCACCCTTCCTCCCAGGACGACCTGCACCTGGGGGTCAGGACCCCGGCGACCCCCAAAAGAGGTCTAAAGAGGGAAGGCCTCCTGAGGAGCCTCTGCCCTGTCCCTGTCTCTTCCCTCCTTACCGGCCTAGCCCATGTTGGCAAACCTATTTTGGCCATACTGGGATTAGACTTTTCATGTTCTTATATGACCTTTTTCCAGTTAATTGGATTGGGTGCAGAAATACTTCTATCTCTATTAATAAAAGAAAAATAAAAATAAATAATAACTAAAGGGAAGATACATACAGATTAAAATTAGAACATGTCTCCAAATCCAGAAATATGAAACACACATCATAACAGTTCCAATTTATATGCCACATTTCTATTCATAAATTTTGTTCTAAAATAAAGAGAAAAAATAAATAGCAAAATACTTTAAAGTAGATCTGAAGCATTCAAAGTATTTTTTGGTATGCATTTATTTTAAATCAATCTCTGATTTTTATTATCTATAGGGCTATTAAGGGATCCAGTTGCCGTTTATTTTTCCTCTATATTTTAGAAGTTCGTATAAACAAATTTAATTTCTAATTCCTTGTTAATTATGAGGCATGATAACACATACTAATTTATCAAGATGTGCTTTATATTAGTCACATTTATGTGAACTTTAGGAGTTGATTATATTTAAGTTTCAAATCTTTCTAGTAATCCTATTAAGAAAAAAAGGGAGAATCTAACTAAAAATTGACTTTGGTTACTCAAATTTATGTTAATTGTGCATTTATATTCATTTCAATTTTTAGAAAATTTAACAACTTAATCCCATCATTAATCATTTATTAAGTACCCTATCCCAACCTGAGAAAATTAAATTTCTCTAATTTCACAGCAAATTCAAACATGGCATTTAACAAGAGGGAAAAAATGGTATCAAATATTCTTCTGAATTTTAACACTTTACAGTGAGAGCAGATTTTAACTACATTTTAATAACCTTGAGAAGTATGTTACAACCCCAAATATTAAAGTAACTCAAAATCTTTAATTTATAAAATGGCAGAAATATCTGTGTCCTGAAAAACTGGAAAAATGGACTGATCTAATGTATTACTAGTTGTTTGGTATATTATAAATTATATAATTATAGTTACATTTATTAAATCACAATTTTAGAACCCATCTAATCTTTATAATGTAGCTATACATAGACATCTTAAAATATCTTTGGCCTAGTCTCTTTCAACATAAATTGAAAAGATAGAGGCAAAAAAAGTAGGGATGGATGAGAATACTATTCATCCTTCATGTAAGTTTAAGACTGTAAAGGGAAGTTCCAGTCAGCCTTTGTTCTAGTAGATCGGAGCTTGAAAGTAAAGTATAAAGTACATAGAGAAAAAAAGAAAAACTCAGTCTTTTTTAACACAGATTTAAGTATAAGAGCTCACACATTTTTCTGAATTACTTTGGTCACGTTGGTGATTTCGTGTAATGTTTAAATATTAAAAAAAAAGCAAGCGTAGCTAAAAATGTCTGTATCTCTAAATAAGAGTGCTCAGAAAAGGAATAAGAGGTCACCATTATTCCATTGACAACACTGGTAGGAGACTGAGGTATTCTGATGCCATGAAATTCTGTTTAGGACTTTCTATTTTGTTTTGTCTATTTTAGAGAAAGAAAAGGAGCCCAAACTTGACTGTTTTGCTATGAATTATAGTTTTAAATGCGTGAGTTTTCTATTAGTGCTTTCAAACATTTTAAATGTTCGCATATGGCAAGGAGAGGTGAAAAAATAAAAATAAATTTAAAATGCACATAAAGCACTAAAATGTTAGCTTTTTAAAATACAAAGTAGAGAATTCAGGAAAACTTCAAAATATTCCAACTGTTTAATATGAAATACTAGGTTAATTATATACTTAGGTTATATTCTGTATTATAAATTGCATTCTAATCCACTTAAATGCAAATTTCTATGACTGTTCATTAAAATTTGGAGAAATATAAATAGATTTTATGAATGTTGAAGATTTTAATTCACCAATAAATTAATAAACTGTTTCTTGTTTACTTAAAATTCAATATTTAATTTGTAAGTTTACCTCTTGGGAAAATGGATATAGCATCTTTTCATACAGACCTTTTGCAAATTAAGGAAAAAGCCAAGACATTTTCATGTTTATAAACAAGTGTCCAGATAATGACGGTTCAAGATTTCATTTCTGCTTTTTATTTTTGAGACGGAGTTTCACTCTGGTTGCCCAGGCTGGAGTGCAGTGGCACAATCTCGGCTCACCGCAACCTCTGCCTCCTGGGTTCAAGCGATTCTCCTGCCTCAGCCTCCTGAGTAGCTGAGATTACAGGCGTGTGCCACCATGCCTGGCTAATTTTGTATTTTTAGTAGAGATGGGGTTTCTCCATGTTGGTCAGGCTGGTCTTGAACTCCCGACCTCAGGTAATCCGCCCACCTCAGCCTTCCAAAGTGCCGAGATTACAGGCGTGAGCCACCATGCCCGGCCTCAAGATTTCGTTTGTAAAATATTCCCCAAGAGCGGTTTTGCTGATTCATAAACCACACAGTTTACAACACACTGAAGTAAGAAACTTTATGAAATATGGAGTCATGCCTCTGGAAAATCCTGTCACTCCACTCCTTTTATAAATTTAAGAAAATAAGCTGATCATATTTAGCTGTGGGACTCATATCATGGCTAGAGAATTCAAGGAAAGGGAAAAGTCCAATTAATTTGATATTTTAGCTTTCTTTTAAATAGTAAGCTAAAACTTGCTAAAACAGATAATAAAATAAAATTAATTAAATTACTTCACAAGGATCCCCAAGGGAAAATCTCTGGTTAATTACACTTTATAGTCGGAGGCTCTCATGGAACTATGTGATGATCATCACTATTTAATTTTCATTCCTTTTAGGAACAAAGTCAGTCCACTAATGGTGAAATCTACTTATAATTATTGTGGAGTTACAATTTTAAAAATTCTCTAGGCATACACAGATACCTTCATTCAACCTCTCATGTCTTAAGAACATCTCAAATTCAGAAACAAAAAAAAATATGTTTCTCATTCCATGTTTCACTTTTCAGGGAATGGCTGCACCATTCATATAGCTTCTGAAACTGAAAACCTGGAATGTATCCATGACATTTCCCTCTCCTTCATCTTACACATCTAAACCATCACCTACCAGTTTCACTCTCCAAGTTTCTCTCAAATCCATCCACTTATCTTCATGTCCACTGCCACACCTTCTGTCTCCAAACTACCATCATCTCTTGCCTAGACTGTTGTGATTACCCTCCTCTTTCCATTTTTTTCTCTATCCTTTAACCAGAGTAAACTTCCAACAATGCAAATCTGATACTTTCCTTCTTCAGTAATTTCCCATTATGCTTAAAGACAGTATCATCTGACCTCTGTTTCCTCCTCCCAACTCACCTGTACCACTCTTGCTTTCTGTACTCCAGCCATACAAGCTACTTTTCAGTTTCTCAAAGTGTCCCATTCTTCTTCCTTCTTCAGGCTCATTACACATGCTTTCCCCTTTGCATGAAAGTCATTCCCTGTTCTTTGCTCATTTAACTCCACCTCAGTCTTCAGCTCTCAGTTCAGTATTTTTCTCTGTTCATATATTTTTTAAGAAACTCTTTCCAGAACTTCCTCATTTCCCCTATTAATGGCCCTCAGAGAACCCTATTTTTCCTCTGTAGCTATAATCGCAGTTTATAACTATATATTTGTATAAATGTTTAATTAATTTCTGTCTTCCCTACTAGACTATCAATTCTATAACAGCAGGGTCTCTGTTTGCTCACCCGAACCCCATGTGTTTGGCACATTGCACAGTACCTGGCTACCTTAAATTCTCAAATTACAATAGCTAGTATTTTTCTTTCTAATCTTTATATTTTGCTAGCATTTTTCTCTCTAATCTTTATATTATATTCCCAAAGTTGATGTAGCTAAATAGAGTGAAATCAATAGACAATTGAAAAGTAAGTCTTTCACTGTTTTAGTCTAAACATTCTGTTCCCCCCTCCCACCCACCCCTACAAGAAATTAAATAACTCCTTTAAAATGTAGAGAAGATCCCTTGAAAATTTAGAAAATATTTACTTGCCATGGAATTTCTTGGAAAATGTTCTATTGCTATATGCGTCTTTTTGTTTTTTTAATCAGAAACTAGTAACATCCCCTCCAGTTTTTATAGTTTTGTAATTAAATTGGAAACTTTCTTACTTTTTTCTAATGTTGAACTTACTTTGCCCATTGATTTTCTCCCAACTTATTATGAAAACTGTAAACTCTAAAAAGGATGGCACAATGAATATTTATATATTCACCACCTATAAAATTTAACATTTTGCCATAATTACATTTTGTCTCTCTCCATTCTACTTAAACATATATATAAATGTGTGTGTGTCTATCTGAGCCATTTGAAAGTAAGTTACAGATATGATGACACTTAACCATAAAGTACTTGGACATATCCTAAAAACAAGGAGATTAGCTTACATAACCACAATGCCATAATTATATTTTAGAAATTTAAAAATAATTCTCTATTACTTGAGATGCTAAGGCAGGAGGATCACTTGAGCTCCGGAGTTTGAAGCCAGCCTGGGCAACATAGCAAAGCCCTGTCTCTTTAAAAATAAATAAATAAATAAATAAACAAACAAACAAATAACCTCTATACCATCAATACTTATTCTATATTCAAATTTTCCCAATTGTCCCCAAAATGCCATTTACAGATTTTTTCAAACTAATATCCAAATAAATTTACCCATTGCCCTTACTATGTTTATTCTCTTAATCAAGACTAGTAACAGTCCACCACCAACACTGTTTTTTCCACAACAATGACTTTTTGAAGAACCCAGCTCAACTGTCTTGTAGAATATTCCACAATCATGATTTGTTTGATTGTTTCTTAATGGTATTGTTTAACTTGTTCCTCCATCACCTGTATTTTCTACAGTTCTAAAGACATGGTCAGATTCTAGTAAAAAAATCTGGGCAAAAATACTTCATAGGAGAGGCTATGAAATTTGCTGTCTCCTCAGTTTAATAACATCTTTGTTTTCTTTCTAAAATATTTACCATCTGTCCTGTAACTTGGACCCTATTCACCTAAGCTGAAATTTGTTAAATATCTAAGAAAAAAAAACAGGGTGAATGAAGTTCTTATGTCAATGTACTTTTCTTCTCTCTCTTTGTTTTTCTTGCATTGTTTGCTCTCCCATTGTTTGTTCTCCCATAACTTGAAGCAGTGACTTTCTTCCTTATTACTAGCAATAAGGAAGGACATCTTATAATAATAAAAGGGTCAATCCTAAATTTATGTGCACATAATAATATAGCTTCAAAATACATAATGCTAAAGTGGCAAACGTAGAGGAGTAATAGGGAAATCCACAATCATGGTTAGAGATTTAAACATACCTTTTTCAGTAGCCAGTAAGACAAGCAGACAAAAAAATTAATAGGAATCTAAAACATTTGAATAACACATTTAACTAATTGATCTTATAGAACACATATATAGAACACAAAATACAACTTCAAAATCCATTTATTTGAAAGAACAGAAATCATACAAAGCACATTCTGATGGCAGTGCAATTAAAACAGGAGTTCACCGTCAGGAAGGTAATTGGAAAAATCCCCAAATGTTTGTAAATTCAGCAATATATTTCTACATAACTGATGGGTGAAGAAGAAATCACAATGGAAACTGGACATTTTGAAATAAACAATAATGAAAACATTACATATCAAAATTTATTGAGTGTAGGGAAAGCAGAACTTAGAGGGAAATTAAAACTTTAAATTAATATACTAGAAAAGAAAAAAAAAGTCAATTATTTAAGACAGGGATTGGCAACCTTTTTCTGTTACTGTCCAGATAATAAATATTTTAGGCTCCGCAGGCCATGTGATCTCTCGCAGTTACTCAACTCTGCCCTTGTAGCCATAGACAATACAAAAACAAATGGAAGTGGCTGTGTTACAATTAAATTCAATTTACAGAAATAGGTGGCAGGTCAGATTTGGCCCTCAGGCCAAAGTTTGCCAACCCATGACCTAAACTTCAAACCCAGGAAACTAAACAGGAAAATAAACAGAAAGAAAGGAGGATGAAATAGTAAAGATAGGAGTAGAAACTAATGAAACAGGCCAGGTATGGTGGCTCACACATGTAGTCCCAGCAATTTGGGAGGCTGGGCAGGCAGATCACTTGAGGTCAGGAGTTCAAGACCAGTCTGGTCAACAAGGTAAAAAATCAGCCAGGCATGGTAGTGCATGCCTGTAGTCACAGCTACTTGGGAGGCTGAGGTACATGAATCCCCCATATCATTTCTGATTGTGTTTATTTGAATTTTCTCTCTTTTCATCTTTATTAGTCTTGCTAGTGGTCTATTTTATTGCCTTTTTTTTTTTTCCAAAAAACCAGCTCCTAGATTTGTTGATTTTTTGAAGGGTTTTTCATGTTTCTATCTCCTTCAGTTTCACTTTGAGCTTCATTATTTCTTTTCTTTTTTTTTTAAATTATTATTATACTTTAAGTTTGAGGGTACATGTGCACAATGTGCAGGTTAGTTACATATGTATACATGTGCCATGCTGGTGTGCTGCACCCATTAACTCGTCATTTAGCATTAGGTATATCTGCTAAAACTATCCCTCCCCCCTTCCCCCACCCCACAACAGTCCCCAGAGTGTGATGTTCACCTTCCTGTGTCCATGTGTTCTAATTGTTCAATTCCCACCTATGAGTGAGAATATGCAATGTTTGGTTTTTTGTTCTTGTGATAGTTTACTGAGAATGATGATTTCCAATTTCATCCATGTCCCTACAAAGGACATGAACTCATCCTTTTTTATGGCTGCATAGTATTCCATGGTGTATATCTGCCACATTTTCTTAATCCAGTCTATCATTGTTGGACATTTGGGTTGGTTCCAAGTCTTTGCTATTGTGAATAGTGCTGCAGTAAACATATGTGTGCAAGCGTCTTTATAGCAGCATGATTTATAGTCCTTTGGGTATATACCCAGTAATGGCATGGCTGGGTCAAATGGTATTTCTAGTTCTAGATCCCTGAGGAATCGCCACACTGACTTCCACAAGGGTTGAACTAGTTTACAGTCCCACCAACAGTGTAAAAGTGTTCCTATTTCTCCACATCCTCTCCAACACCTGTTGTTTCCTGACTTTTTAATGATTGCCATTCTAACTGGTGTGAGATGGTATCTCATTGTGGTTTTGATTGAACTTCTCTGATGGCCAGTGATGGTGAGCATTTTTTCATGTGTTTTTTGGCTGCATAAATGTCTTCTTTTGAGAAGTGTCTGTTCATGTCCTTCGCCCACTTTTTGACAGTGTTGTTTGTTTTTTTCTTGTAAATTTGTTTGAGTTCATTGTGGATTCTGGATATTAGCCCTTTGTCAGATGAGTAGGTTGCAAAAATTTTCTCCCATTTTGGAGGTTGCCTGTTCACTCTGACGGTAGTTTCTTTTGCTGTGCAGAAGCTCTTTAGTTTAATTAGATCCGAGCTTCATTATTTCTTGTCTTCTGCTAGCTCTGCGGTTTGTTTGCTCTTGGTTCTCTAGTTCTTTTAGTTGTACTGTTAGGCTGTCAATTTGAGATCTTTCTAGCTTTTTGATGTGGGCATTTAGTGCTATAAATGTCTCTCTTAACACTGCTTTTGCTGCACCCCAGAGATTCTGGTACGTTGTCTCTTTGTTCCCATTGGTTTCAAAGAACTTCCTGATTTCTGGCTTAATTTCATTATATACCCAGGAGTCATTCAGGAGCATGTTGTTCAATTTCCATGTAGTCGTGTGGTTTTGAGTGGGCTTCTTAATCTTGAGTTCTAATTTGATTGCACTGTGGTCTTAGAGACTGTTTGTTATTATTTCAGTTCTTTTTGCATTTGATGAGGAGTGTTTTACTTCCAATTATGTGATCAATTTTCGATTAAGTGCCATGTGACACCAAAAAAAATGTATATTCTGTTGTTTTGGGTGGAGAGTTCTGTAGATATCTATCAGGTCCACTTGGTCTAGAGCTGAGTTCAAGTCTTGAATATATTTGTAAATGTTCTGTCTCAATGATCTGTGTAATATTGACAGTGGGGTATTAAAGTTTCCCACTATTATTGTGTGGGGGTCTAAGTCTCTTTGTAGGTCTTTAAGAACTTGTTTTATGAATCTGGGTGCTCCTGTATTGGGTGCATGTATATTTAGGATAGTTAGCTCTTCCTGTTGAATAGATCCATTTACCATTATGTAATGCCCTTCTTTGTCTTTTTTGACCTTTGTTGGTTTAAAGTTTTTTCTGTCAGAAACTAGGATTGCAACCCCTGTTTTTTTTTTCTGCTTTCCATTTGCTTGGTAAATTTTCCTCCATCCCTTAACTTTGAGTCTGTGTTCATCTTTGCACATGAGATATGTCTCTTGAATACAGCATACCGATGAGTCTTGTCTTTGTATCCAACTTGCCATTCTGTGTCTTTTAATTGGGGGCATTTAGCTCATTTACACTTAAGGTTAATATTGTTATGTGTGAATTTGAACCTGTCATCATGATACTGGCTGGTTAATTTTGCAGACTTGTTAATGTAGTTGTTTCATAATGTCACTGATCTGTGTACTTCAGTGTGTTTTTGTGTGTGATTTTGCTATCCATGTTTAGTACTTCCTTCAGGAGCTCTTGCAAGGCAGGCCTGGTGGTGATGAAATCCCTCGGCATTTTCTTGTCTGAAAAAGATTTTATTTCTCCTTTGCTTATGAAGATTTGTTTGGTCTGATATGAAATTCTGGGTTGGCATTTCTTTTCTTTAAGAATCTTGAATATTGGACCCCAATCTTGTCTGGCTGGTAGAGTTTCTGCTGAGAGGTCCGCTGTTAGTCTGATGGGCTTCCCTTTGTACGTGACCTGGCCTTTCTTTCTGGCTGCCGTTAACATTTTTTCCTTCATTTCAACCTTGGAGAACCTGATGATTATGTGCCTTGGGGTAGATCTTTTTGTGGAGTATCTTACTGGGGTTCTCTGGATTTCCCTGATTTGAATATTGGCTTGTCTTGTTAGGTTGGGGAAGTTCTCCTGGATGATATACTGAAGTGCGTTTTCCAACTCGGTTCCATTCTCCCCAACTCTTTCAGGTACTCCAATCAGTCATAGGTTCCATCTTTTTACATACTCCCATAGTTCTCATAGGTTTTGTTTGTTCCTTTTCGTTCTTTTTTCTCTAATTTTGTCTGCCTGCCTTATTTCAGCAAGATAGTCTTCAAGGTCTGATATCTTCTCTTCCACTTGGTTGTTTTGGCTACAGATGCTTGTGTTTGCATCATAAAGTTCTTGTGCTGTGTTTTTCAGCTTCATCAGGTCATTTATGTTCCTTTCTAAACTGGTTATTTTAGCTAATACCTCCTGTAATCTTTTATCATGCTTCTTAGCTTCTTGCGTTGGGTTAGAACATAATCCTTTGGCTCAGTGAAATTCATTATTACCCACTTTCAGAAACCTGCTTCTGTCAGTTCATCAGTCTCAGCTTCAGCCCTGTTCTGTGCCCTTACTGGAGAAGTGTTGAGATCGTTTGGAACAAAAGAGGCATTCTGGCTTTTGAAATTTTCAGTGTTTTCGCATTGGTTTTTCCTCATCTTCATGGTTTTGTCTACCTGTGATCTTTGAAGCTGTTGACCTTTGGATGTGGTTTTTGTGGGGTCTTTTGTGTTGATGTTGTTGTTGTTGTTACTTTCTGTTGGTTTTTCTTCTAACAGTCAGGCCTCTCTTCTGCAGGTCTGCTGCGGCTTGCTGGGGGTCCACTCCAGACCCTGTTCGCCTGGGTATCACCAGTGGAGTTTGCAGAACAGCAAAGATTGCTGCTTGCTCCTTCCTCCAGAAGCTTCTTCCCACAGTGGCATCAACCTGATTGATGTCAGCCGGAACTCTCCTGCATGAGGTGTCTGGCGACCCCTGATGGGAAGTCTCACCCAGTCAAGAAGCACGGGACTGGAAGGGGGGCCTCCTTACGGAGGCAGACTGACTGTCCCTTAGCAGAGCTGGTGCACTGTATTGGAGGAATAACCCTCCTTGGGATCAGCTGGTCTCTTCAGAGCCAGCAGGCAGGAAAGATTAAGTCTGCTGAACCTCGGACCATGGCCGCCGCTCCCCCGAGGTGCTCTGTCCCAGGGAGATTAGAGTTCTTGTCTGTAAGCCCCTGACTGTAGCTACTGGAATTCCTGCAGGGATGCCCTCCAGGTGAGGAGGGATGGCTTCGGGTCCCACCTAGGAAGCAGTCTGGCCACGATCTGCAACAGCCACTTTGCTGCGTTGTGGGGAATTCCACCCAGTCCAAACCTCCTAGTCTCCTTAGCACTGTCAGGGGAAAACCTCCAACTAAAGCCTCAGTAATGACGGTCGCCCCTCCCCCTGGGAACTGAGTTGTCCCAGGCGGACTCCAGACTGCTGTGCCGGCAGCGGGGATTTCAAGCCAGTGGTTCTTAGCTTGCGGGGTTTCCGTGGGAGTGGGACCCTCTGAGCGAGACCACTTGGCTCCCTGGCTACAGCCCCCTTTCCACAGAAGTGGACATTTCTCCTGCCTCACTGGAGTTCCAGGTGCTGCCGGAGTATGTAAAAATTCCTGCAGCTCAGTGCCTGCCCAAACAGCCGCCGACGGGAGCAGCTGTCATTGGTCTGCCCAGTTTTGTATTTGAGACCCAGGGCACTGGTGGTTGTAGGCTCCCGAGGGGATCTGCTGATCTGTGGATTGCAAAAATCTGTGGGAAAAGCTTAGTACCCTTGGTGGGTAGCACTGTCCCTCACCACTTCCCTTGGCTGGGGAGGGAGGTCCCCCTGCCCTGTGCAGTTCCTGGGTGAAGCAATACCCTGCTTCTTCTCGCTCTCTGTGGGTCATGCCGACCATCTAGTCAGTCCCAGTGAGATGAACTGGGTATCTCAGTTGGAAATGCAGAAATCACCCACATTCCTCGTTCCTCTCGCTGGCAGCTGCAGACCAGAGCTGCTTCTAGTCGGCAGTCTTGGCCCCTCCCCGCCGAGGTAAGTTTAATAAGTCTTCTAAATTTGTCCTTGCCATAATGATCAGTGATGATCTGTCTTTTAATAAGTTAAATGCTTTCCAGACTTCAAGACTCTCACCCACATCAAAAATAAAATTATATATCGGCCATATTACCAGGATTTTAGAATGTTGTATTTTATCCTCTAATTATAGGTCAAATAACTAAGGTAGAAAGGAGTAAAGCAACTTCCATGTATGTAGTGAGGATGTTGGGGGGTCTGGGACTAAAATTCTGCCTTGGGATTCCCAAGAGGTTGGTGATTATGATTTTTGTACTCTTAGACACAAAATAAAATAACATTCTGTTTTGTTCCTCTGCTTACCCTATTCAGTTCTCTAAACTACAAAATCTCTGCTTATCAAAATAAGTTGGATTGTCAATTTGTTGAGCTCAGCAAATGCATTTCCTGAGCCCTTGTGAGTAAAGCTCTGTGCTGGTTACACTGCGTAACTAGTGATACAGAGGATGAGTAGAGCATTCTTTCCTGAAAAGAGCTTAAGATTTCTGTGCCCAGGTCAGCTTGGGTTGCCTGTAAGTGAGAAAATTGACAGCCAACACCCACAGGCTTATTCTGATAAAATGGGAGATGATAATAAATGGTGGGGTTTTTTTCTTTTTCTATTTTCTTTTTTTTCGAGATGATGTCTTGCCACGTTCCCCAGGCTGGTCTTAACTCCTGGGCTCAGGCATTCTTCCCTCCTTGGCCTCCCACAGTGCTGGGATTACAGCGTGAGCCACACACCTGGCCTTGTGAATGGTGGTTCTGTCAAGACTGGGCTTTCAACCTCCCAAGGATTCTGGTCAAACAGCCTCAGGAGAATCTTCTGCAGAGAGTGTCTGCCTGCCAACTGTCAGAGCTGAGTGTCACAGAATCTTGGCATGGGTCTCCTCCCTCTGTTCCATTTCACAGATTACATGTTGTTAGTAGGAACATCACCAGAAGGAGCATGAGGATGTTCCTTCTAAGAACTAGGAAAGATATAATAATGCTGCTGGCTGGGCTATTTTAAAAAAGTAATCAAGGGCCTTCTCAGAAAGTGATTTTAGGAACTATAATGCATAGATGGGATCAATTATAGTGTAAGAACTGAAAAATTATTGCACTGAACAGCACCTAACAGCTTCTGGAGAAAACATATTTCCCAACTGACCCTGATGATGGACTTAAATACCAAAAAACAGAGAGAACCACTAACTTCCATTGTCTTGCAGAAACAGGAGAACCTTAATGCACTTAAAGCTGGAAAAATGTCTCTGCCTCTAAGGCCATGCAGTGAAACAGATTGCATGGTAGGTGACATAGGCAGGGGCAGAATGGAGTTTATGACAATGGCCATAAGATGATGAAAAAAATTATTTGGGGCCTTTGAAGCAGCAGATGAGCTGGCTCAGAGGAAAGTTGCACAACTGTAGAAAAACAACTTTTGCAAAATTTTCCTCCACTCAGTGGGCACTACATACTTATTCTAGGATTTGCATTCATTCTTTCACAGACTGTTTACTTATTGGCTTGGGCCTACAATGACTTTTCTGAGAGAGGTGAGGGATTAGCACAACAGCACACACACGCCTGAAAGAAATAGTGAATTTCTAATTTTCAGATTTTAGTCTCTGACCTAACCAAAGAATTGACCATTGTAGATTTTATCTATTAATAATATTAATGATGCTCACAAATATGAAGATTTAAGTACATCTTATGATAATAAGAGATGCTTTCAAAAAAAAGAAATGGTAGAACTGTAGTCCAGGGATGTTAATAAAAGTGGCAAATAACATTACATCATCTTTTTTAAAAAAGAAGATGAGGTCTCACTGTGTTGTCCAGGCTCATCTCAAACTCCCAGACTCCAGTGATCCTCCTGCCTCAGCCTCCCAAAATGCTGGAATCACAAGCTTGAGCCATCACCTTCAGCCCATATCATCTTAACATCCAATAGGAACAGGTAAAAGAAAGAAGAAGGCTGACAACCCAGTGTACAGAATCATATGTAATAATGAAACTGTTGATTGGTTATAAATCAGCAGAATTAAATCTATGTTTATACTGGCCCTTGGGTTCTGTCGTAGAGGCAGAACATGGAGAAATAAAAAACTGGAGTAGAAGATAAATTCATTTGAGTAACTAGACTTTATAGATAAACATTTGAGAAACCACCTTTAAAGCTGTTTGTGAGCCATGTTTTACATAATGACAAATGAATGCTTTTGTTTTTTTGTGACAGTCAACTGACCCACTGGGAATGTGACCTTGTGAATCACCCAGGTGAGCAAGCTTAACATGATTGGATGTAAACCTAGGTCAATAACTAAAGAGATACTCAAATGTGCTACACGTGTCAATTGTGACATAACAAACTGAAGGCCATTCATTCTCCCTTGAGGGAATGAAGCTGATAGTGCAAGGGACTGCAGATACTACTGCAGAATCAGGGTCCTGATGCTCACATACTGAAGTGAGTGGACTCCTACTTCAGATGTGTAATAGGATCTACTGTCTCCTAAGGCTGAGTATCCCACAAAGAAATCCCCTCAGCCCAACATTATTAGTTATTTTAAAGCTTTTGGTCTCATTTTATAATAGATCACATCAGAAATAAGACTAGTCAGGATCAGGTACAAACTCATGATAACTTGATAGATATATCATTGAAGACCATCCCAAAGTCTCTGATACTACATAATGCTGGGATACATTATTGAATACTAAATTTTAAAATAAGGGATAACATTGCAGATAAACAGACACGCACATGGGAAGCCTCATCAACTGCATGAGCACTCTTAAGGAAAACCTATTGATGAACATACAGAACATTTCACATGCATTGGTCCACAAGGTACACACTCTGCCCAGCCTGAAAACTGAATATAGGTTGGGACGTTCCTCTTCCTTGGGCTGATGATAAAGCTCCAAGTAAAATGAAAAAGATTCTTTTCACCTGGTAAATACGCAGGACCCCCCCCCGAAAGATATTGTCACTGCCAAATGTAACTTCAGTCTGAAAAGCATTTGTTTCTAGCAGGATACAACGTCAATATACAAAAATCAATTCTATTTTATGTAATTCCAATGCACAATTGAAATGTAAAAAGCAATACCACTTACAATAGTGTCAAATGTATAAAATGCATAGGGATAAATCTGACTGCAAATTATAAAATGTTTCACAGAGAACATAATGAATACCTAAAAACTAGAGAGAAATTCTTTGTTCATGGGTCAAGAGACTTAATATTGTTGAGGTGTTACTTTTCCCCAATCTGATCTATAAATTCAATGCAATTCCACTCAAAATCTCAGCGAGCATCTTTGGTAGAAAGTGATCAGCTGATTCCAAAATTAATATGAACTAGCATAATCAAAATGCTACTAAAATGAAGAACAAACTTGGAGGACTAGCTCTACCTGATTTAAAGAACTATTATAAAGTTATAGTAATCAAAACAGAATGGTGTTGGGATATGATCTCACACCTGTAATCCTAGCACTTTGGGAGGCCGAGGTGGGTGGATTGCCTGAACTCAGGAGTTCGAGACCAGCCTGGGCAACATGGTGAAACCTCGTCTCTACTAAAAGCACAAAAACTTAGCCAGGCATGGTGATGCACTCCTGTAATTCCAACTACTTGGGAGGCTGAGGCACAAGAATCACTTGAACCCAGGAAGTGATCACACCACTTCACTCCAGCCTGAGTGACAGAATGAGGCTCTGTCTCAAAAAAAAAAAAAAAAAAAAAGAAAAGAAAAGAAAAAAAGATTGATAAAATAGGAACAAAATACACAGTCCAAAAATAAACCAATGCATATATGGATAAAAAGATATTTGACAAACATGAAAAAGAAAAATATTTAAAAATGTATATACTTTCAACAAATGGTAGAGGATTTTCTTTTAACAAATGGGTATGACATCTATATGTGTATAAAAATAAGTAAAAAATCAGATTCGTGTGTCACTCCATATATAAAAATTAGTGTGTACCAGAGGCTGGGAATGAGAGTGGGGAGAGGGTAGAAGTTGGTTAATGGGTACAAAAATACAGTTAGGTTGAAGGAGTAAGTTCTAGTATTCAATAGGGTAGCAGGGAGACTACTGTTAACAATAATTTGTTGTATATTTTTAAAAATAGCTATAATAATTGGAGTGTGTGTAACACAAAGAAAAGATAAAAGTTTGAGGTGATAGATATCCTAATTACCCTGATTTGGTCATTACACATTATACACATTTATCAAATTATCACACATACCCCCAAAAGATGTACAACTACTATACATCAATTAAAATATGAATGAAAAGTAGATCATGAACACATTTATGATGATTGAAATCACATCAAGTATTTTTTCTGAGCACAATAGTAAGAAACTAAAAATCTACAGAAGGAAAACTGGAAAATTTCACATATACATGGAAATTAAATAACATGCTTTTGAACAGCTGATGGGTCAAAGAACAAATCAAAAGGGAAATTTAAAATATCTTGAGACAAACAAGAATGAAAACAAACATAATGGAACCTCCGGAAACAGCAAAAGCAGCTCTAAGAGGCAAGTTTGTAATGATAAATGCCTATATTGGCTGGGCACAGTGGCTCATGCATGTAATCCCAGCACTTTGGGAGGCCAAGGTAGGCACATCACTTGAGGTCAGGAGTTCAAGACCACCCTCACCAACATGGTGAAACCCCATCTCTACCAAAATGTACAAAAATTAGCCCAGCATGGTGGCACGCACGTGTAATCCCAGCTACTCAGGGAGGCTGAGGCAGGAGAATTGCTTGAACCAAGGAGGTAGAAGTTGCAGTGAGCCAAGATTGTGCCACTGCACTCCAGCCTGTGCAATGGAGTGAGACCCTGGGAAGGAAGGAAAGGAAGGAAGGAAGGAAGGGAGGGAGGGAGGGAGGGAGGGAGAGAGGGAGGGAGGGGAGGGGAGGAGAGGGAGGGCAGGGGAGGGGAGGGGAGGGGAGGGAGAGAAAGAGAAAGGGAGAAAAAAGAAAGAAAGAAAGAGAAAAAGGAAGGAAGGAAGGAAGAGACCCACATTAAGAAAAAAGGTCTCTAATAAGTAACCTAACATTATACCTCAAATAACTAGGAAAAGAATGAAATAAAGTTATCAAAAGGAAGGAAATAATAAAAATCAAAGCAGGAGCAACTCAACCAAAGAATAGAAAAACTAGAAAAATTGACAAAACTGAGTTAATTTTTTGAAAAAATAAACAAAATTGACAAACTTTTAACTAGACTAAGAAAAAAAGAGAAGAGTCAAATAAATAGCATCAGAAATGAAGTGGAGGTATTTCAGCAGATGTGTCAGAAATAAAAAGTATCATAAGGAACTATTATGAGCAACTATATAGCAACAAATTGGATAACCTAGAGAAAATAGATAAATTCCTAGACACATACAACCTACCCAGATTCAATCAAAAAATAATAGAAAGCCTGAACAGACCAATAACAAATAAAAAGATTGAAGCAGTAACTATAAACCTCCCAAAAAAAACAAAAGCCAGGACCAGGACTCAGGACCAAATGGCTTCACAGTTGAACTCTACTAAAAATTAAAAAAAGAATTAATGCATTTCTTCTTAAGCTCTTCTCAAAGATAGAAGTAGAGAGAATACTTCCAAAATCATTTTATGAGGCCAGCATTACTCTGCCAAAGACACCAGAAGAAAATAAAACTACAGGCTAATATCTCTGATGAACATAGATGCAAAATTCCTCAGTAAAATACTACCAACCCAAATTCAACAACACATCAAAAAGGATATATGTCTTAACCAAGTGGAGCTTATCCCTGGGCTGTAAGTTTGGTGTAGTATATGCAAATCAATGTGATACAGAATGAAAGATGAAAACCACATGATCACCTCAGTAGCTCCAGAGAAAGCAGATGACAAACCTCAACATCCTTTCATGAGAAAAACTCTCAACAAATAAGGCATAGATGAAAATTTCTTCAACATCATAAAGGCCACTTATGAGAAGCCCACAGTTAACATGATACTCAATCAAGAAAAACTGAAAGCTTTTCCTGTAAGATCCAGTCCAAGTCAAGGATTCCCACTCTCACCACTTCCATTCAACATGGTACTGGAAGTACTAGCAAAAGCAACCAGGAAAGAAAAAGAAATTAAAAGATTCAAATTGGAAAGGAAGAAATGAAATTATCACTGTTTGCAGATAATATGATCCTATATGTAGAAACCTCTAAAGACTCTGCAAGAAAACCCTGTTAGAACTAATAAATGAATTCAGTAAAGTTGTAGGATATAAAATCAACTAATAAAAATCAGTTGCATTTCTGTACACCAATAATGACCTATTCAATAAAAAATTTTAAATCCTATTTATGATAATATTAAAAAGAATAAAATCAGCAATAAGTTTAACCAAGGAGGCAAAGATCTATACACTGAAAATTATAAAATGTTGTTAAAAGAAATTGAAGGTACAAATAAATGGAAAGGAATCCCATGTTTATGGTATGGAAGAATAAATATTGTTAAAATGTTCATACTGCCCTAAAGTGATCTACAAATTCAAGGCAGTCCCTATCAAAATTCCAATAGCATTTTTCACAGAAATAGAAAAAAAACTCCAAATTTGTATGGATCTGCCAAAAAACCAGAATAGACACAGCAGTCCTGAGGAAGAAAAGCAGAGTTGAAGGGATCATACTAGCTAGTTTCAAATTATATTACAAAGTTATAGTAATCAAAACTGTATGGGACTGGCATTAAAATAGACACATAGACCAGGAACAGAATAGATAGCCCAGAAATAAACCCAAGTACATACAGTCAACTACTTTTTGACCATGCCCCCAATAACATACAATGAGGAAAGGATAGTCTCTTCAATAAATGGTGTTGGGAAAACTGGATATCCACATGCAAAAGAATGAAATTGGACTCATATACAAAATACACAAAAATCAACTCAAAATGGATTAAATACTTATGTGTAAGACAAAATCATAAAACTCCAAGAAGAAAACAAAGGGGAAAGGCTCCTTGACATTGGTCTTGGCAATGACTTTTGTGGGGTGGGGGTTGGGGGTGCAGGGGGATAGGACACCAAAAGCAATAACAAACAAATGGGACCAGCTGGGCATGGTGGCTCACACCTGTAATCCCAGCACTTTGGAAGGCCGAGGCGGGTGGATCACCTGAGGTCAGGAGGATGAGACCAGCCTGGCCAATATGACGAAGGCCCATCTCTACTGAAAATACAAAAAAATTAGCCAGGCATGGTGGTGGGAGCCTGTAATCCTAGCTATTCGGGAGGCTGAAGCAGGAGAATCGCTTGAACCCGGAAAGTGGAGGTAGCAGTGAGCCAAGATTGCACCACTGCACTCCAGCCTGGGCAACAAGAGCAAAACTCCGCCAAAAAAAAAAAAAAAAAAAGGACCACATCAAACCAAATAGCTTCTGCACAGCAAAGGCAACAATCAACAACATGAAAAGGCAGCCTATGGATTTGGAGAAAATATTTGCAAGCCATATATCTGTTAAGGAGTTTCTATCCAAAATATAAGGAACTCATAGAACTCAATCACCAAATAAATAAAAAATAGACAAAGGACCTGAATAGATATTTCTCCAAAGAGAGCAAACAGATGGCCAGCACATATATGAAAAGTTGCTCAATATCACTAATCATCAGGGAAATGCCAGTCAAAATCACAGTGAGATATCACCTCACACTTGTTAGGTTGGCAATTGTATAAAAGACAAAGAGAAGTGTTGGCAAGGGTGTGTAGAAAAGGAAACACTTGTACACTGGTGGAAATGTAAACTGGTACATTCCTTATGGAGAAGAGCATGGAGTTTTCTCAAAAAGTTAAAAATATGACCCAGCAATCCCTCTTCTGAGTATATATCCAAAAGAAATGAGATCAGCACCTACTAGAGATACCTGCACTCTCATGTCCATTGCAGCATTACTTACAATAGCCAAGATATGGAAACAACTTAAATGTCCATCACAAATGGTGTTTTTACTTACATGTAAGAATGTGCAGTATTTGGTTTTCTGTTTCTGCATTAATTCGCCTAGGAGCATGGTATGTTTTTCTATATGTTTGTCTTGTCTCTGATTTCCTTCCACAGTGTTTTGGAATCCTTGTTGTAGAGATCTTTCACTTCCCTGGTTAGCTGTATTCCTAGGCATTTTATTCTCTTTGTGGCTATTGTGAATGGGGTTGCATCCCTGATTTGGCTCTCAGCTTGGATGTTACTGATGTATACAAATGCTACTACTTTTGTACATTGATTTTATATCCTGAAACTTTACTGAAGTTGCTTAGCAGTTCTAGCCTTTGGGGAAAGACATTCAGTCAGCTACATTTGACCATGCTCCCAATAACACACAATGAAGAAAGGATAGTCTTGGGCAAAAAAAATGGAGTGTTCTAGATATAGAATTAAATCATCAGCAAAGAGACATAGTTTGACTTCCTCTGTTTGTATTTCAATGCCTTTTATTTCTTTCATTTGCCTGATTGCTCTGGCTAGGACTTCCAGTACCATGTTGCATAGGAATGGTAAGAGTGGGCATTCTTGTAGAAGTTAGAAAGAGCTCAAATGAACAATCTATGAATCAACAACTCTGTGCTGAAATAAAAAAAGAAAAAAATTAACAACCTAACATTAGACCAAGGGGAACTAGAAAAAGAAGAGCAAACCAACCCCAAAGCTAGCAGAAGAAAAGAAAACCAAAATCAGAGCTGAACTGAATAAAATTGAGATGTGAAAATGCATACAACAGCTCAACAAATCCAGAAAAAAAAAAAAACTGGAAGAAATGGGTGAATTCCTGGAAACGTACATTCTCCCAAGATTGAACCAGAAAAAAGCTGAAATCCTGGAACAGACCATAAGGAGTTCTAAATTGAATTGGTAATAAAAAACCAACCAACCAGAAAAAGGCCCAGAACAGGTGGATTCATTGCTGAATTCTTATATAATAAAGAGCTGGTAACAATTCTACTGAAATTATTCCAAACAACTGAGGAGGAAGGACTCTACCCTAACTCCTATCAGGAGGCCAGCCTCATTCTGATACCAAAACCTGGCAGAGACACACAACATTAAAAAAAAACTTCAAGCCAATATGCCTGATGAACATAGAGACACAAAACTCCTCAACAAAATACTAGCAAATCCAACCCAGCAGCACACCAAAAGCCAATGCACCATGAAGAAGTAGGCTTCATTCCTGGGATGCAAGGTTGGTTCAACATATGTTATGTGATTCATCACGTAAATTGAACTAAAACTGAAAACAACATGATTATCTCAATAGATGCAGAAAAGGCTTTTGATAAAATTCAACATCCCTTCATGTTAAAACTCCCAACAAACTAGACACCAAAGGAACATACCTCAAAATAATAAGTGCTATCTATGACAAACCCACAGCCAACATCATACGGAATGGGCAAAAGCTGGAAGCATTTCCCCTAAGAACTGGTAAAAGAACAAAACAATAAATTACGCTTCAATAATACTTTTAAAAAATTGCTCTTCAAAGACATTGGTAAGAGAATGAAAAGACAAGCCACACTTAGGTAGAAAATATTTGGAAATTATGTATCCGATAGAGGACCTCTGTCTGCAACACTAAGGGAACTCTCAAAATTTATTAATAAACAGGCAATCAAATTTTCAAATGAATAAAAGATTTGTAGAGATATTCCACAAGGAAGATATATGGAAGGCACATAACAATATGACAAGATATTCAATATCATTAGTCACTAGGAAAATGCAAATTTAAACCACTGTATACCAAGTAAAATGACTGAAGTTAAAAGAATCACCGTTCCACATATTGGCAAAGATATATGGAAACAAAAACACTCATACACTGTTGATGGGAATGTGAAATTTTACAAGCATGTTATAAAACAGTTTGGCAGCTTCTTAAAATAGTAAACCTGTACGTATCATATGATACTGCTATTTCACTCAAATGAAAGGAAAGGATATGTCCATACAAATTCGTTGATAAAAGCTTTAGTTTTAAAACCAGAGCCATCCAAATCTATGAACAGGTGAATAAATAAAATAAACTGTGATATAACCATCACATGGAATATTAGCAATATAGCAGAGTGATCTATTAATACACATGACAACAAAGCTACATCTCAAAATAATTATTCTGAATTAAAAAATGAAACCAAAATAATGTACATAGTATATAATTCTATTTATAGAAAACTTGAGAAAATTTAAATTAATCTATTATGACAGAAAGCCAACCAGTGGTTGTCTGAGGTGTGGGGAGAAAGGTGAGGGAGGAATTACTACGTAAACAAGGACACTTTGGAAGTGGTAGATATATCCACTATCTTTTTTGTTTGTTTGTTTTTTGACACAGGGTCTGGTTCTATCACCCAGACTGGAGTGCAGTGGCACACTCTTGGCTCACTGCAACCTCTGTCTCCTGGGCTCAAGCCATCCTCCCAACTCAGCCTCCCAAGTAGCTGGGACTACAAGCACATGCCGCCACGCCTGGCTAATTTTTGTATATTTTTTAGACACAGGGTTTCACTACGTTTCCCAGGCTGGTCTTGAACTCTGAGCTCAAGCAATCCACCTGCCTTGGCCTCCCAAAGTGCTGGGATTACAGGCATGAGCCACCATGCCCGGCCTGTATTTACTAATCCTGATTGCAGATGTGTACTATGCTCAAACTTTTTAAATTATACACTTTAATTATGTGCAGTTTTTTGCATGTAAGTTATATATCAATATAATTGCTAAAAGTTTAAAACATTATTTTAAAACTGCCATAGCTTGATTTAATACATCTTTTTATATTTTAAAAAACTGATAAAATTCTGTATATTATCAGGACAAAAGAGAAAAAGCATATGATTACCCTGACATACACAGAAAAAGCGTTTGGCAAATTGAAAACTTTTTTCATCATTAACAAAAACAAACTCTCAACTTGGTAAGAACAGAAGGCAACACTTCCAACCCTGCAAGGGCAGATTTGAAAAACCCACAGGTAACATTAATAAGATTGAATGCTTTCTATTAAATAGCGAAAAAGGTAGAATATCTGCTGTTACTCTTTCAATCCAGCATTAAACTAGAGATGTTATCCGATGCAATAAAGTAAGAACATAAATAAACAGAAACATTGAAAAGATTGAAAAGAAAGAATTGAAGCTGTCTAGAATTGAAGCTGTCTTTATTCACGGATCATGATTATGTATGTAAACAATTCCAGAAATCTACAAAAATATACCAAAACTATTAAGCGAGTTTGGCAATGTTGCAGAATATAAGTTCAATATAAATAGTCTGTTGTATTTCTGTATATTAGCAATGAGTGTTTGGAAAATAAAATAAAAATACAATTTCATTTAAAGTAACATCTAAATACGTGATGTGCTTAGAAATAAATTCAAGAAAATTTATGTAAGGCCAGTACACTGAAAACTACAAAACATTGCTTTGAGAAATTAGATATATATATAAACAAACTAAATTGGTGGGGAGATAAACCTTGTCACGGATCAGAAGAGCTGTTATAGTTAAAAAGTCAGTTCTTCCCAAATTGATCTCCAGATGCAATGCAATTCTAACAAAAAATTCCAACAGGCAATTTGGTAGACATTTACAAGCTGATTTATATGAAAATGTCAGTGATCAAGAATAATAAGAGAGCAATATTATAAAAGAACAATGGTGAATGAATTCACTACCTATTTCCAGATTTACTATACAGCTATGGAAATCAAGACCATGTGTATTGTTGAAAAAAATAGAACATATATCAATGGAAGAGAAAAGAGAACTCAGAAATAGACCCTTACATATATGTCTAATAAATTATTCTTAGACGTGAATATAGTTATATGTATATATACATAATCACCTGTTTGATGATTTCTATCTTTATCTCCAAAACAGGGAACATTAAGAGAACATAAAAAGAAGCCACAATATAGGAGAAATTATATTTATCTCCAACAAAAGATTTTTTAATGGTATATATATAATGCAGTCTGATAAGATAAACAGCACAATGAAACAATTTCTCAAAAGACTTGAATAGATACTTCAGAAAAGAAGATATATGAAGGGTCAATTTGCAAATGAAATGATGCTCAACTCTTTAGTCATCAGGGAGATCAATCAATACAATGCTGAGATACCATTACATGTCCATGAGAATGGCTAAAATTAAAAAGACTGAAAATACCACATGTTGGTGAGGATATAAAGTACTTGGAAGTCCTATACTTGTGGAAATGAAAAATGGTACAACTCCTTTGAAAATCTGGCTAACAGTTTCTTATAAGACTAAACATGTACAGATCAAATGGACAGTCCTTGCACTCCTAGGAATTTACACTCTATGTCCACACAATGATCTGTATGTGGATGCTCATGATACTTTATGCATTATAGCCCAAACCTAGAATGACACAAATGTCCAATAACAAGTGAATGTATAAACAAACATGGTGTAGCCACACAAAGGAATACTACTCAGCAATTACAAGGCATTAACTGTTGACGAAAATGCTCACATGGATGGATTTTCAAATTAATATGATGCATGAAAGAAGGCAGATGCAAAAGAACACAGGTATAATTTCATTTATAGAAAATGGTGAAAAAGGCACTGCCAGAAAGTGACAGTGGCTCCTTGAACCTGAGGGTTGAAATACTGATTAACTGCAAAGGGTTACAAGAAATTTTGGGCTTATGGAAATTCCTATATCTTGATTATGGCAGTAGTTCCATTAGTGTATACATTTGTGAACATGCATTGGATTACATAGTTTAAAGTGGTGCAGTCTATTGTACTTAATAAATACCTTTATAAAGTTTATTTAATCATCTTAATTTCTCCATACTAGCAATTAGCTGCTAGAAAATGAAATTCAATAAAACATAATAGAGATTAATATCCAAAATCATTACATATTTAAGAATACATATAATGAAGCAGGTACAAAGCCCCTGAAAGCTATTGGTGAGAGAAATTAAAGAAGACTAAATAGAGAAATATATATTACATTCATGGATTGGAAGATTCAATTTTGTTAAGATATTACATCAACATAATTCTGACTAATGTTTCCAGTAGGAATTTTTAGAGAAATGTAAAAGCTAATTTCAAAATGTATTTGAAAATCAAAAAAGCTAGAACAGGCAAGTTGGTCTTGAAGAAGCAGTAAGTTGTAGGAGTTATTCTGCTGGATTTCAAAACTCATTTAGAGCTACAATAATTTAAAAACTATAGTACTAGTGTAAGTATATAGAAGTATATCAAGATAAAAAGAATACAGACTCAAACATTATGCTCACATATATACAGTTATTTAAAGTTTTTAAAAACAAACACGCCAGTGCCTCTCATTGGGGAAATGAAAGACTTTTCAATAAAAAGTTCTTGAGTGAAAGAAGTTTAAGACCAGCCTGAGCAACACAGCAAGACCTTGTCTCTACAAAAAATTAAAAAAAAAAAAAAAGCCAGAAATGGTGATGTGTGCCTAGAGTTCGAACTACTTGGAAAGCTGAGGCAGGAGGATCACTTGTGCCCAGGATTTGGGTATGCAGTGAGCACTCCAGCCTAGATGACAGAACGAGAACCTGTCTCAAAAAAAAAAAAAAAAAAAAGCATCTCACACTCATAGTAAGTGGCCAGAACATAATGCTGACTGCATGTTGTGAGGAAATGTATTAAATGAAACAAATTGAATTCAAGAAGGTTTTTTGTTTGTTTGTTTGTTTTGTTTTTTAATGTGTGTTTGTTTGTTTGTTTTGCAGAAATGAGGTACAGGGGAGAGAAACACCTACTTGGAAAGAACCACACAACTGAATTGGAAAATGTGGAAAGGGGATTGGGGGAGGGGACTCTTTCTGAGATCTGGCTCCAGTACTAACAGCAAAGGGAACTTGGGCAAGTTACAGACTCTCTGTGCCTTGGTTTTGTCATCAGCAAAACAGAATCATCCCATAAACTGTAAGGTCCGTGGTATCAGAGGGTCCCCAGTCTGACTGCACATCTAAGTCGTTAACAAACACATTCCAGGCCCCAACTGAGCGCACTGAATCAGAATCCCTGCAAGGAGGACAATGATCTTGTATTTGCACTGACCTTCCAGATGTTTCTTACTCTGATCAACTTGGGGGTAGGAACCATTGAGCTGCATCACATCATTCCAAAGCCCAAACACAGAAGCAGAACAAGAATATATTCAATGCATTCTCTAAAGTGGAGAAAACTGTTGAGGGAACCTAGAAGTGAAGGAAACCTGGCTTGCTGGGCTCCATCTTAACTTTATCCTGAGTACAGCAGAGACAGGAGCACTTTGGGACACATGCCTGAGGTAGTGACAGTCCAACATTGAAACAGTGGAAGCCCTAGTTTCAAATTCAAACTTGCTTTGAGTAGAAATTAAGTTTACATCTTTTTGCATAGCAACAGGGCCAGTTTTCTCCAAGCTGCTCAATTTACAAGAAAAGAAATCATACGGCTAAGAATTCAAACTTCAGCAGACATGGGTAAACAAGGAACTCTTACAAATCTATTCTAGCAACCTAACAAGAAACCAGAAATTTAGCAAGTTCTTTCCCGCTCAGGACAATTGTGTTCACTAGATCAGAGGCACTGAGACATGAAGAAAAGACCCGCTAAAAAGGGAAAGCCTTCCTTCCTGCCCTAGGACATCCCTGCCAACTTCAGGGAGGTGGGAACCCAGCTGCGCTCTCTACAGTATGGGTTACTTTTGTGTCTGGAAGGTGTCTGACATCCTGAGACCTGGACCCATTTCAAGGAGCTTTGGGAAGAGCCCAGATCACTGATGGAATTGGACAGTGCGTGGAAATGGTTCAGCAGGACGAGGGTAAGTGCAGGATCACGGCCAGGTCATTCTGAGAGACAATGAGTGGCACTGATGGGGTCAGACAAAGATTAAAAACAAAAGTTTGTGCTTCGACTTCAGAAACTCAAATCAATAACTAATTTGCTCTTATAAGTAATAAGCATTTTTCTATCTACATGAGAATTTAATCTCAAAACAGAAATCAGAAAAAATATCAAGTCCAGGGCATAAAACCTAAACCAGTGCTTAGATTATTCATTTTAAATAGAGCTAAGAGTAAAATCTTCTCCATAAAATACATATTGTGTCTATACATAAAATATATGTTGTATCTGAGTTCAGGGTGTGATGAGTGTGACCATGGACTACCCAGCATTCATGTGGAAGTGAAGGAAGAGGACTGGATCAATCCCAGCGGAAAGCATGCCTCTCAGCAGCCCACACCATCCTCCACCTACACTGTGTAATGACAGTGCTTTGAGATGTAGCAAAGGCTGTAAATTTATCTATTCTCTGGTGTCTCAGAGACCTGACATTCTGTGTCAGAAAGAAAAGTTATAAAAAGGCAAAAGTCTTAATGAGAATCATTGGTACTCAATAGAATAGTGAATTAAATACAGCCAGGGGAAGACCCAAGTCTCATATTTCTCTTGTATATTCCAAAGTTCCAGTGAAATTCCAGGTAATAGAGGTTATTTCCCACACTGTTAAAGCAAGGTTGCAGACACTTCTGAATTTCGGTCCCAATGCTGAAGGAGGGCACACCTCTGTCCTGGAAAATGACACAGGAATGAATGCTATTCCCATGACTCATTCTGGTCATTCTTCCAGCATCACAGAAACCAAAAAATAGAAATATAGCCAAATACATGATTTGCTATCCCTCTTCTTCAGGTTTCTTACCTGTTTCTTATGGATAATAACATTGCCTTAAGGATTATGATGAAAATATGATATCCAAGTATGTGTACAGTTTTGAACAAAATGCCTAGTATGAATTGGTCAATAAATAATTATTTTTATTTATTGAATTACATGGATTCTATAAATAATTACTGAATAATTATTGTGATTCCTTTTATTGGCAGTGCTCAAAATGCATCCCTGTGTGACCTCAAGTAAACCAGTAACTTTGTGAACCTGCAGTTTTATCATTTTTAAAGTGAAGAAACTAGACAGATTTTCATTCTGACACAGAATGTCAGGTCTTTGAGACACCAGAGAACAGATAAATTTATAGCCTTTGCTACATCTCAAAGCACTGTCACTACACAGTGTAGGTGGAGGATGGTGCGGGCTGCTGAGAGGTGCGCTTTCCACTGGGATTGATCCAGTCCTCCTCCTTCACTTCCACATGAATGCTGCGTAGCCCGTGGTCACACTCATCACACCCTCAACTCAGGCAAGTCCAGCAGCCACACTTAGGAGACCTGGGCTACAGGACAATCTCCCAAGTCCTAGCCTCACAAGACCTAGTTGAAGATGGAAGCTGAGAAAGTGAGGAGGCGGTTTGGGGGAGCACACTCCCCTACTCATCCCTCTCATCTCAAACTCACCTTCTACTGCACAGGAACACTGAGGATCACCAACCACCCGTGACCATGAGCTTGATCTTGCCAGGTTCGGTTAGTGGAATGCAACCACACATCAACAGTGTTAGAGCAAATATATATATATATATATATATATATATATATATATATATATCTCCAACAATATTCCCTGAGAAGCGTTCAATGCCCTGTTCTTTTCAATATATGGGAAAACTAAAAACAACAAAATACCATCAGGTTTACAAGACTTCCCAAGATAGATGGTCACACATGTTTTCAGGGGATATATACAAATGATTTTGATCACTTGATACCTTGAAAAGAGCTATTTTGGGACGAGAATGATATTCGTAAGTGACAAGTATGAAACGAGTGTTCAGTGACATTAAAAAAGCAAACCGACCCACACATAGAGGAAGAGCTTTGGACGTAGGGATGTGAAACTGGTCTTAAGTGTAATGAAAAGCCAAGATGCTGCCCCAGTAAGAGAAAAGAAATCAACATAACAATGGGATGCAGCAAGAATACTGAGACAGGGTAGAATATCTTTTTTAAAAGTGAATTATTCCTTCATTTTCAGTCGATACAGAAAAAACTGCAGAAGACCCAGAGGGATATCATAGCAGACTAAAAGTTTGCTATCTTTCACTTGTGGAAAAGCATTAAGATCATTTTACCTTAAAAAGAAGGTGAGGTGACTTGATGACTACCACTAAGAAAATATAACCTTCTGGAAAACTATCCCTACCTTGATGATTTTATACACACAAGAGATGAACAATGAGGAATATGCTTATATGTATTGAGAAAGAGGTGGGCCTGTAGCATTGTCACAAGGGTGCACAAATACTGAGAGTGACTGCTGAAGAAATGGTCCCCATCAGTGACCCTCAGGTGAGACCAGGGGGCCTAGTGTTTCAGCACAGCCTGGGCAATTGGAATGCAGGGTTTCTAAGATTCCATGACACCCCCACCTTCTAATTCTGTTATTGCAACTGCAGACCGTTACCTGGTACGCTGGCTGCTACCTCCCTCACTCTTGTCAGAGTCGGAGCTACAGGCAGTGCCTTCAGCTCTGAGCTCAGGCATCCCGGTCCCTGTTTTTGCGGTTAAGGACTCTAAAGTGTTGTGTCGTGTTCATCAACTTTTTCTCAACCGTAAGTTAACAATTCCAGTAATTGTCATCTCTCAGTCCTGATTAAACCTAATTGATTTCACTAGTTTTTGACCCATCATGTGTCTGGGTTTCTTCTCCCCAGTCCCTGGCTCTACCTCTTCTGCCACAAACGTCAGCATGGTGGTATCTGCCGACCCTTTGTCCAGCGAGAGGGCAGAGATGAACATCCTAGAAATCAACCAGGAATTGCGCTCGCAGCTGGCAGAGAGCAATCAGCAGTTCCGAGACCTCAAAGAGAAATTCCTTATAACTCAAGCTACTGCCTACTCCCTGGCCAACCAGCTGAAGAAATACAGTAAGTTCTATAGATTCACAATGATGAACGTGATGAATGATCACCTGTGTTCTGAGAAACTGAACGGTCTTTTCATCGAAATTAATTTCATCCTTCCCATACTTCTAGGAAAATAGAAGTGGATGTTTTAACCTCATTTTGTTAAACATGGAAAACAGAGGCACAAAGTATTTAGCAACTTTTCCACATTGGCAGTCTGGTGTGAGGTGGGACTAGACTTAAAATCCTACTTATTGTCTTCTGACACAGGCACAGAACCACCTGTTTTCCTCAGTAAGAGGCTAAATCATGTTTATGAGAATCCTCTCTGTACCATATAAGATTCTACAGACAAGTAACATCTAGTCTGTTGGTCTAAATGTCTGGGACTAATGAACTTCCATTCAGTTCAAGCTTCTTTGAGGCCCAATAGGCAAAGCTTCATCCAGAGGACCCTGGGGGAAACATGGCAACTGTACAGAGTACCCACTCTAAGGAGCTTAAAGAGGAGACTGCCCCTAACAGAAACTGTGATATCTGTGACACCCTTCAAAGCAGGGAGTGTCCCAGTGAGAGGGAAGTGCTGCTTCCTGGGGCACAGGCTCTTATTCCTGAAGAGGAAGAAAGATGGCACATGAGACATTGTAGAGGTAGCAGTGTAGTGTGCAGAGCAGGGACCCTGGGCCAGTCTCCTGGGCTCCATCCAAGTTGCCTATCTTCTCTGTGCCTCAGTTTCCTCATCTGCTCATTGAGTACTATAATAATACCTACCTCTGTAAATTACTGCAATGAATTACATGACCTATTTCTTGTAAATTTCCTAGAACAGTTCTTGGAACAGAGTAAACACTATCTATTAGTTCTTCATTCTACTATTTCTAACTTAATTCAAACTTTATTAGTATTTGGGCATATTTCTACTATAGCCTCACGGTCTTGTGCCTCATATTTTATGCAATTATATCCAGATATGATTTTTTAAATGTTTGACATATTCGCACTTGAAATTCCCAGTACAAGGGAAACTTTGGGTCCCATAGTCCTAGGGCCTTCCTGACTGTATAGAAAATCACTACTTCATGCACCAGTGCAGTGTTTTACAGGAGAGGCCGCAAGGCTTGGGAAAGTGGCCCAGGATTCAGAATCAGACCTCAGGGGCTGTGAATTCTGACTCCGCCTTCTTCCAGGTGAATCATCTTGTCAAGTTACTTGATGTGCCCTTGTGTTTCTTTCTCCCCATCCCTGAGTTGGGGAGTATCAGATGCCAGAAAGTTGGGAGGTTGATAAATAAAGATGTGGAAATGCCTGCCTGGAGCCTGGTACTGGAGCTGCTTTCGTCCTTGGGATGGATGCTGCCGCCTGCCCTATAGACAGTGACCCCAGCAGCATGTCCCACCTTCCACTGAGGCAGGCGTGTCTGTCTTTTCTCAGAGTGTGAAGAGTACAAAGACATCATAGACTCTGTGCTGAGGGATGAACTGCAGTCCATGGAGAAGCTGGCAGAGAAGCTCAGGCAAGCTGAGGAGCTCAGGTGAGCGGGCCCCATTGGGGGCAGGCAGATGGGCAGGGGTGTGAATCTCTGAAGTGCAGCAACTCAGCTGGGAGAACTAAGAGCTGAGCTGGGCCAGGACAACGGCAGGCATTTACATGGCAGGCACGTGTCACACAAATATTTATAAAACAGAGAACAGTCATCTTAGTAAGTTATGGGTTGTAGTTGTTTCTTAAGCCTTGTTTTCTCTTCTTAAAACCACTGATTGTTGAGGTAAAATTTGCATAACACAAAATAAACCAAAAAAAGTGAACCACTCAGAAGCATTTAGGATAC
The DNA here is from genome assembly GCF_000001405.40 of Homo sapiens. Lineage (NCBI taxonomy): Eukaryota > Metazoa > Chordata > Mammalia > Primates > Hominidae > Homo > Homo sapiens. Next base: position 253,818 of record NW_017852928.1, on the reverse strand, counting down.
TCAGAATGGTGTGCGATCACCACCACCTTTACTCTTAGTCAGAATCACCTCTTGACTGACTGTGGCGTTTCATTTGTTCAATCAATATTGCCTTCTTAACACTGTCATTCTTTTCTTCTTTCATCTTTCCAATTCACCCCATCTGCACCTGGCCACATTTCTGTGCATGGCTTTGTATCTAGTCACTGCAAGATGCGCTATGTGAATTTTCACATAGAGATGCCCATGGCCAAAGTGAGGAACTGAAAGGACATCCTTGTGGAACTGATTTAGGAAGACACTAACTTTTGTTTACAGAAGAAAAAGATGAATGGAACATCTGCGAGGATATTACAGAAGCACTCTCTCATATATCAGAAGGCTGTGTGTGTGTGTGTTTGTATATATATGTGTGTGTATGTTTGTATATATGTATGTGTGTGTGTGTGTGTGTGTGTATATATATATATATATATTCTTCTTTCTCTTGGCCACAGACATTTCCCCAAACATGTTCTGACCTTCTGCTTGGAGGTCTCCTTGAGGACATTCTCACAGAAACCTCTGTTGCGGTATTAGAACTGATCACTCATCCCTTTCCATTATTAAATGTTCTCTACTATCTCACCTTAGGCAGTATAAAGCCCTGGTTCACTCTCAGGCAAAAGAGCTGACCCAGTTACGGGAGAAGTTACGGGAAGGGAGAGATGCCTCCCGCTGGCTGAACAAGCATCTGAAAACCCTCCTCACTCCTGATGACCCTGACAAGTCCCAGGGTCAGGACCTCCGAGAGCAGCTGGCTGAGGGGCACAGGCTGGCAGAGCACCTTGTTCACAAGCTGAGCCCAGGTAAGGTGGCCATGGGCCCTGATGACACACAGCTTCAGGCTTATGAAAGTCCCCAGACCTCCACACCTCCACAATGACAATTGTATGGGTAGTGTTTCTTTCCAGTAAACTTTTGTGGCCACGACATGATCAGAATTTCTTGGGTGGGAGCAGAGATGGGAAACCCATGGGGTGGAGGTTACAGAATGGCAAATGTATCCTCCTTTCTTGATGGAATGTGGTCTTTAGAGCAAGAGGCAACATCCGTCCAGTTTTAAAGAACAGGAAGGAGGCTGTGACAGGAAGCAGCTTTTAGAGTGAAAGGAGCCCTGGACTAAGAATGAATGTTCCCAGGATCTATCTTCAGCAATGTCTTTAGCAACTGTGGGCAACTGATTAATTTATCCTTCCTGGGTTTCTGTCTCTAAATCTGTAAAAGCAAACAAATTGTCTCTTGCATTCAAATGTGGGAACACTTATGACTATATTTCACAATGAGATAAAGCCCCTTGCTGTGTGGTGTTGGAGAAGGCACTTGATGTGGTGGCATTTGGTGGTAGGAAGTGGTTTAGACTGGAGCACTCCCCATGGAGAGATTGTCCCCGGTTAACACAGTGGAAGCCACTTGGAGGGCCCATGAAGTCCCTAATGTATGGAATACTGTGGGACAAGGTTGTTTGTCCTGTTCGAAGAGAAAGATATAGGTTCTAAATGCGAACTGTGACAGGATACAGAGCCTGTGCGTGGGAATCAGATCTGTGGCAGGATTGGGGAGACAGCTGCTGAAGTTCAGAGAGAGGCTGGGCAAGCCTCCAGTGATATGAAGAGGAAAAGGTCTTTTCAATATTTGGCCACATCTTGATGGTGACCCTCCAGATCAGAAACGCATTGCCTCATGGATCAGGAAAACATGCCAGGGCATTTTTTTAGAGATAAAACATGAGAGCTTTCAGCACAGTGTGGACTTATACATGTAGATGTTTATGTCCCTGTGCACATAGGGCTCACTGTGCTTGCAGTGGGTGAAATGGGAAATATTTCAATGGACACATCTGTATTTGCAGAAAATGATGAAGATGAAGATGAGGATGAAGACGACAAAGACGAGGAGGTTGAGAAAGTACAGGAATCACCTGCCCCCAGGTAACATTGAATAATCAGGAGCGGGTAATGGGTGGTAAAATATGAAAAAGGTCTCAGAAAGAATAAAAGGGAGGTGAAGGTAGTCACAGATTCCAGAGGCAGGATAAAGAAAGCTGCAGAGTGCACTGATTTCATGTGCTCACCCAACAAGGAAATAGCCCCATTAACGTGCTTGTCCATTGTCTTCCTGGTGCCTGTAAGCATGACCCTAGATGAACTCACCATCCCTAGGTACTTCCTGCACACACAGAGGAGACCTGTTCTCCCCTGTAGTGAAAGCCAGGATGAGATGTAAAGCTGCTTTCTACACTGTTGTCTTTAGGTTCTTTTTAGGAAAGATAAATAGCAGAGAGGCAACAAGCAGAGGAAATAGGAAGCACCTAGCAAAGTTGAACACAAAGTACAGTACCTAGACAAAAAAATTTACATTTCATGTCACAATATTAAAATTTTAAAAAAACTAGAAGGCACACCATCTCTGAAGTCTACAATGGCTCAAATGCCTGTATAGCCATGGCCACAGTATGTTAACTACAACCCAGCTTAGACACACCATGTGGCAGCTGTTTTTGGTTCTCTGTGTGTGCTGTCAAGACTGTACCATACAGGGACAGCTGAGTCTTCGTCCTCCTCAGCTCCTATCTGCCCAGTTCAATGATCACTAGCTGCTGTCTTCCTCTCTGGTTCCCATGGCAGCCACGCTCTGTTGCAGACAGAAAAGGATTGCCTGTTCCCTCTTAAAAGGAACCTCTCCTTTGCATTCTGGGACCACTCTCTTAAGCCTCCTTTCAAAACCACCTAGGACTTCTTGGGGTGCAATGCCTTTTGGATTAATCTTCTGTCATCTCTATCCCACTGGGCTCATCAGGGAGGTGCAGAAGACTGAAGAAAAGGAAGTCCCTCAGGACTCACTGGAGGAATGTGCTGTCACTTGTTCAAATAGTCACAACCCTTCTAACTCCAACCAGCCTCACAGGAGCACCAAAATCACATTTAAGGAACACGAAGTTGACTCTGCTCTGGTTGTAGAGAGTGAACACCCTCATGATGAAGAGGAGGAAGCTCTAAACATTCCCCCAGGTAGCCTCTCTATTCTTTGTCCCTCCTAGCTCTGTCTAGGCTGAGGAAGATCAATTCTGAGGACAGACTGTATACATACATATTGGTTTGAATCACAAAGTATAGTGGAGCCGGGGGCGGTGGCTCACACCTATAATCCCAGCACTTTGGGAGGCCCAGGCGGGTGAATCACTTGAGTTCAGGAGTTCAAGACCAGCTTGGGAAATGTGATGAAACCCATCTTTACAAAAAACATGAAAAACTAGCCAGGCATGGTGGTGCGTGCCTGTCATCCCAACTACCCAGGCAGCAGAGGCGGGAGAATCACCTGAGCCCAGGAAGTAAAGGCTGCAGTGAGCCACAATTGCACTCCAGCCTGAGTGACAGAGTGAGGCTGTGTCTCAAAAAAAGAAAAAGAAAGAAACAGAGAGAGAGAGAGGAGAGAGAGAGAGAGAAAGAGAGGAAAGAAAGAAAAAGAAAGAAAGAAAGAAAAAGAAAGAAAGGGAGAGAAGGAAAAGAAAAGAAAGAAAGAAAGAGAGAAACTATGATAGAATATTAAACACAGTTATGTGAGGGTCAGAGAACATTCCTCTCCTCCTAGGCCCATGGCATGGACTTTGTCTTCCTGGCCCCAATATTAGCATACTGGACCACAGGCAGGTGTGACAAAGTCATAGCCACCTGTGTACAGGAGGTATCTGTCAGGCCTCCTGGCTCGGTTCCTATGTCTCTTGTCACATGCAATAATGATTTGTGTCCCTGAACAATGTCCATGGAGTTTCTATGCCTGTCACAGGCGACTGACAGTCTTGCCTATGTAATTGGAGATGTGTCTCTGGATTCACTGTTCTCGGCCCCAGGCTTGGTCTCCTTTAGGTCAGCTTGTCCCAGCTAAGCAGTCACCTTGAAAGCAGGACATAAACACTTCTACCTTTATCTTGCTTATAAGTTTCCCTAAACGAGGCTGGGCCCTGAGTTCTTCACCCCATGAGCGGTCAATGTTTCTGTGTAGCACCGCAGACTCTTTTTTATGCAAGGATTGTTAGAATTTATCCATCAGTTCAGTCTCCTATACAAATTTCTCTAACCATTCGTTGACCATGATATATGATGAGATAAATCAGTATTGCAACAACACTTCTGGAGAGTGGTTAGGGCAATTTTTGAAAATCTTGGGGAAAAAGTTTTGTTTAATTGTTTGCACAGACTTAGGTCAGAGGATAGGTGATTATGATCTACCAGATGAGGGAGATTTTGTCCTATGGGTCTGGAAAGCAGGCACATCTACTTCTGAAAATAAGTCAGAATGATCCTGTCAAAATGTCACATTCTTACACTGAGGATATTTATGTTCTTGTGCTATGACTGGACACTTATTTGCTCTTGTGTGATTTCCTTACTGTGACCTGCTCTTCTGAATTTGTTTACAGAAAATCAAAATGACCATGAGGAGGAGGAGGGGAAAGCGCCAGTGCCCCCCAGGTAACTGTGGATTTGTGGGCTGTTAGTTCAATAGTGACATCTGGACACCACGGATCAAGGGAAAATAGGAAGTGACGAATAGAACTGTCTCATCCATTCATCCAAGTGCAAATTGCCCCTTTAACAATGTTGTCTTCTTTATTGTGGTACTTGAATAGGTTTCAATTTCTTAATCCCTCTCAAGCATAGGAACCGACAATCACTTGAACCAGGTGAACTGACCAACCTCAGGGATTTCCTGATCTCACCTGTGGTCTCCCATGTGGCTAATCCAGGGTGAGATGCATATATGCTTTCTGTATGTTTTGTGACAGCATGTTGGCAAGTATTTGAATGCAATCGAGAAAATTAAAAATAAAAATTTCATATTATGTCAAAATATTGAAAAAAAAGGGGGACCTTAAAAACACAGGATCTGTGCGTTGGGAATGCCTCAAGAGCTGTGTTCACTTGGATGCTGCATGTAATGTCAACGCAATTTGTGTAAAGGAAGTGAAGTCCCAGCTTAGTTCTCAGTGCTGCAAGTCATGATGCTTGATGCTAGCTTACAGGGAGAGTCTGGGTCCTCCTGCAGCCGCTCGTTTGTGGCAAGTGCACTGAGCACCTGCTGCTCATGTTTGCTCTGTCTCCAGGACAGTCACACTCCACCCCACATTTAGAAGGATAGATTTTTCTCTCTTGGAGGAGACCCCCCTTTGCTTTCTGTGACCACACCCTTTGTGTCCTATCAAATCACCTGAGATACTATGGTGTTGAATCTGTCTTGGTCTAACCTTCTGTCGTTCTATCCTACCTGGCTCATCAGAAAGCTGCAGGATTCTGAAGAGAAGGGAGTCCTGCAGGACTTGCCAGAGAAATGTGTTTTGTCTCATTCTAGACACCATGACAAGTCCAACTCTTACCGGCATCGTGAAGTCTCTTTCTTGGCATTGGATGAACAGAAAGTTTGCTCCGCTCAGGATGTTGCCAGGGATTACTCCAATCCCAAATGGGATGAAACCTCACTTGGCTTCCTCGGTAGGCTCCCTATTGTTTGTACCCCAGATTTGTCCATAGTGACGGATGTCATACCTTCAGGAAGACTCTATGCTTATATACTGGTTAGAACCAGGCTCTAGGATTGAGTTTGAAGGAAGGCATCCTATAAGTCAGAGTTGTGCTCCATTCTAGTCCAAAACCACACATTGTCTTTCATCATTGCCCCATTGGCAGATCACTGTACCCAAGGTTGACCTGACAAATTCATACCCACCTCTGCAGCCTGGGTGCAGGGTGTATCTACCAGTCCTCCTGATTTAGATTTAATCTGTCATCTCACATGAAATCTAATTTTCCCTCCCAAACAACCTGAGTTTCTCTGCCTGTCCAAGGCCACTGGCAGCCTTATCGATATTCTTGGAGCTGTCATTTCCCTCGTTCACTTCTCTCAGGCTAGACTCCCTCCCCTTTTAGTAGGCTTGTCTTAGCTAAGAAGTCTCTGAGTACCAGAACATGAACACCACTATTAAATTTTGTATGTTTCTCTGAAAGGAGGCCGGGCCCTGGAACTCCCTGCCATATGAAAGGCCAATGTTTCCATGTAGCATTAGAGATTCTTTTGATTTAATCTGTCCCTCTAAATGCAAATTCTACAAAAACACTGACAACAGCTTATCAGAAGGAAACATGCTGAATACTGCAGTAACCTGCTAGGAAGCATTAAAGTAGATCCCCAGGATCTGTTAGTAAACAGGATATGGTTAACAGTTTGCTGTGACTCAAGACAGAAGGGACTGTGATGATGACCTGTCAGATCAGGGAGATTTGCTCCATGACTCAGGAAAGCAAACCTAGTGACTTCTCACAAGGCTCACCCTGAGACCTCCTGGAAAGTTTCTCTCACAATAGCCTGTTCTCGCACTGCGTGTATTTATGCCCCTATGTAGATTTGGACACAAGGTTGTGCATGTGTGAATGTGATCAGGTTCACCTGGCTGGTCTTCTCTTAATTTATTTACAGAAAAGCAAAGTGATCTTGAAGAGGTGAAAGGACAAGAAACAGTTGCTCCCAGGTAATTGAGAAAAATCAGGGGCTGTCTATTCAGGGGTGATATCTGTGAAACTCATCTCCACAGAAAACCAGAAAGTCCTGAATATACCTAATTCATCCCTTCAGCCAACCGGAAATGATCTTTTTTAACCATGTTTTACATTTTCATTGTGAAACTTTTAATGTTTGCATTTCTTATTAACTTCTCAAGTTCAGTACATCAAACCACTTGACCTTGTGAACAACTAATCAGTCACACAGATTTCCTTAAAGTAAGTATACTCTTCTTATGGTGTCAACCAGCCTGAGATGCATATCTGCTTTCTGCTGGTTTTGCATTAGCACAGTGGTGAGCATTTCAAGGCAAGGAAATTAGGTAGAAAAAATTATTGTTATACCATGCACAATATTGAGAGAAAGAGGACTTGATGCCATGCGATTTCGGGGATACGATTATGCCTCAAAACCTATGTTTACTTGGCCACTACACATAAAATTTAACATCATTTAAAAGAAAGGAATGAAACCACTGTTATAGGACATGATATTCAGTAAGTCACGACTCTACCATACAGAGAGACTCAGTCTCCTTCCTCAGAAAATCATAATCTGGCTACTTTGCTGAGCACCTGATGCTTCTCTCTCTCTCATCTCTCTCTTTCCCTCTCTCTGTATTGCAACCTACCCATGGCAACCACACTGTGCCCACCAAGAAGAGGAGAATATTTAACTGTTTAATGGGTTGACCCATTTGTTTTCTGCGATCACTCCCTCATGCCTCACGTGAAATCCAGCTAGGGCTCTGAAACTCCTTGGATTAATCTTTAGTCCTTCTTACCCTACAGGCTCAGCAGGGGACCGCTGAGAGTGGACAAGCATGAAATCCCCCAGGAGTCACTGGATGGATGTTGCTTGACTCCTTCCATCCTTCCTGACCTGACTCCCTCCTACCACCCTTATTGGAGCACTTTGTACTCTTTTGAAGACAAGCAAGTCAGCTTGGCTCTTGTAGACAGTGAGTACTCCATTGTGAACATGATAAATCTCCAATTGGTGTCCCAGGTAGACTCCGTAATCCTTGCACTTCACATCCCTGGCTGGACTGAGATGTGTCATTGGTGTGGGCGTGACTCACAGACACAGGATGATTTGCATCAGCATCAAAAATCAAGTTGGAAGCACAGACAGGGGTGGGTCAGTGAGCTTTGCTCTCTTCCTCATCTCAGACCATGCCTGTGTCACCCTGCGCCCACTGTCACGACATTGACAAATTCACACCAACCTATGCAGCACGTGCCCAACAGGTGTCTGTCAGGCCTCTTAATCTGAATAAGATTTGTCTTGCCAGCTATCGTGTTCCTTACAAGTTCCTTTCCCCAACCATGTCCTGTGAGATTCTATGCCTGCCCAACGCCTGTGGCATTTTTGTCTACTTTTCGTTAAAGATATTACCCAGGTTTCAAAGAACCTAGCCTCATTCTCTATGTCTTTGATGTTATCCTGTTTTAGCTGAGCAGTCCATTACCTTTTGTTATGTTTCTAGAAACAAGATTGGGCCTTGTCACTCCTAGATGTCACGAATAGCCAATGTCTCTTTGTATTGAACCAAAGATTCATTTTCATCCAAGCGTCTGTAGATTCCCTCCTACATTCTAGTTTCAGTGTCTAAAATCCTTGTAACCATGAACAACGTGAGTATTTGATGATTGAAAGCTGAATATTACAGTTTTCCTTCTAGAAAGCAGCTGGGGTATTTGCCTTCAACTGGTGTGAAAAATTTGCATAACTGTTTGCACAAAATCAGGACAGATGATGTTGGGATAATGATCTACCAGAACAGGGAGATTGCATTCCTAGGCCCAGGGAAGAAAACCAAGGCATCTCTCTCATGACAGGACCTCAGGCCTCCTGGAATATTTCTCTCACAGTGTCCTGTTCTCCCACTGAGGAAACTGACGTTTCTATGTTAGGATTGCACAGTGGATTGTTTATGTGTGTAGGAGAACCTGCTTAATCTGTCTGTCCCTTTGTGAATTTATTTACAGAAATTAAAAAGGATCAAGAGGAGATAGAAGACCAAAGCCCACCATGCCCCAGGTAACTCTGAGGAATCCTGAACAGTTAATTCGTGTTGATATCTGGAGTCTCAGATGCAGGGAAAATCAGAGTGTGCTGAATATACCTGTTCCATCTGCTCAGCCAACCATGAAATGCCATATTCATAAGGTTGACTCTTTTCATTGTACACCTGTATTTCTAGTTCCTCCTTATTAATTCCTTTCAATTCGTCTAATCTGCATTCAGTTGACTCTGTTGAACTGATCACTCACAGACATTTTCTGCAGTCCCCTTTTCTGTCCTTTTTGCTTAAAGTGAAGTTGAGTTGCACATCTGATGTCTGCCTCTTTGGCATTACCATGTTTGCAAGTATTCGATAGCAGGGAAGTGAATGAAAATAAATCATGCCATGCTACAATGTTGAGAACAAGAGCTGTTGAGGATACAGGAACTCTGTGAAGACTCAAGAGCCTGTATTCATTTGGCCACTGACGCTAATTTCAACAAAATGGATGCAAAAGTGCCGAATGCACTGTGTCCTGGCAGTTCCCCGCAGGGATCACTCCATCTGCTTCCTCCCCAGCTCATTGCCTGCCCAGTGCACTGAGAGCCTGTCGTGCTCTGTCTCCTACTCGAGACAGGGAAGGATGGTTGTATCTCTCTCAGGGGAATGTACTTTGCTTCCTCTGGGCCTTCCTAAGGGCCTCCCTATAGAACCAGCTGGGTGTTGGTTCTCTCTGGTGTTTATCTTCTGTCTTCTTTACCCCAGGCTCAGCCAGGAGCTGCCAGAGGTGAAGGAGCAGGAAGTCCCAGAGGACTCTGTGAATGAAGTTTACTTGACTCCCTCAGTTCACCATGACGTGTCTGACTGCCACCAGCCTTATAGCAGCACCTTGTCCTCATTGGAGGATCAGCTTGCCTGCTCTGCTCTGGATGTAGCCTGTGAGTACTTCACCCTGGAGATCACAAAGCTCCACTGTCCTCCCAGGCAGCCTCTGTATGTTTTGTTTCCTGCAACTTGTGCAGCTGAGACAGACCATCTCTGCAGCAGGCTCTATACACTGAGCTTGTTTTGAATCTGGCTCTTGGATCCAGTTTTAAGCACAGACATCCACTGGGTAGAACTTCCTCTTCTCCTGTTCCAAGTGCCTCCTCTGTCACCTGGCTCCTTCTCACAGGAGCAGGCTTTGGCTATCAAAACAGGCCAGAGAAGGGAGTGGTGAGGGCTTATGGCAAATTCCTGGCCACAGTAGCTCAGCTGGAGAAATTTATGTAACAGCCCTCCTTCTTTAAGATAGGGCATCTCTCTTTTCTGAAATTATCTTGCTAATTCCATGTCTTTATCTCTTCTCTGGCCATCCACATATGCTGGGAGTTTTGCCCAATTATTTGGAGGCCTGTTTCATGATTCCTGTGTCCCAAGCTAGATTCTCTTCTTCAGGGATCCCCAGCCCTGGGGCCATGGGCCATTATGGGTCCATGACCTGTTAGGAACTGGGCCGCAGAGCAGGAGGTGAGCGGTGGGAGAGCATTTCAGCCTGGATCCCACCTCCTGTCAGATCAGCAGTGGCATTAGATTCTCACAGGAGCTCGAACTCTATTGTGAATTGTGCATGCCAGCAATCTAGATTGTGTTTTCCTTACGAGAATCTAATGCCTGATGATCTGTCACTGTCTCCCAGTAACTGTCACCCCCAGGTGAGACCATCTAGTTGCAGGAAAACAATCTTAGGGCTCCCACTGATTCTGCATTATGGTGAGTTGTATAATTATTTCATTATATATTCCAATATAATATTTATAGAAATGAAGTGCACAGTAAATGGAATGTGCTTGAATCATCCCAAAACCATCCCCCCCAACCTGGTGCCTGAAAAATGGTCTTCCATGAAACCAGTCCCGGGTGCCAAAAAGATTTGGGACTGCGGCTCTACTTCCTCTGAGGTGTCTTCCCTCCACTGACGCAGTCCAGCGACCCTTCCTTTATGTGTGGCCGGGCTTGCATCCTCTGCAGAGCTCCAGTGGTTTTCTCCATGTGTGGGTTTGTAGTGTCAATCAAGTTTTGGTCTCAGTGCTCTATTCTCATGAAAACCATCGACAACTAGTGTCCCTCATGAGGCTCTGGCCTAACCGATGAGCAAAGCAGAGTGGTTCCTGTCCCCATGAGGTCCAGAAAACCCTTCCTCTGAGCAATCGCCCCTTGAGATAGCAGCTTCACAGGACATGTAAAAAGAAAATCCAATTTTCATTTCTTCTTGCTCGTTCTCTTTTTTTTTTACTTCAATTCTGGGAATTTCATGTGGATTGTTGGGGGTTTTACCCATTACATTATCTTCTAGTAAGAGCAAGGAACTCTGTGATGTCCCCCAGTATATTGGATTATGTTGTAACGAGATTAGCAAAAATGCCAGGTGTGTTGATTCACGCCTGTAATTCCAGCACTTTGGGAGGCTAAGGAGGTGGATCGCATGAGCTCAGGAGTTTGAGACCAGTGTGGGTAACATGGTGAAACCGTATCTGTAAAAAAAAAATTAGCAGAGTATGGGGGTACACACCTGTAGTCCCAGCTTTTTGGGAGGCTGAGGTGGAAGGATCACCTGAGCCTGGTTAGTTGAGGCTGCAGTGAGCCACGATTGCACCACTGCACTCCAGCCTGAGCAACAAAGTGAGACCCTGTGTCACACACACACAAAGAAAGAAACTAGCAACAAAAATGTTGGCCTCTATTCTATTTTGGTCAGTAAGTGCCTTTCATACTGGGACCAGCCCCTTTCCCATTTTGCATTTCTCCCTGAGTTTCAAAAAAGCAAATGCTTTTCTAGCATCACAGTGATTCATGAAACAATTAGAATACACACTGACCTTGCACCTGCTGTATGCCCTGCCCCTTTGCAAGCAAGCTCTGTCCTGCTATAAACCATTCAGGGATCAAGGGACACGCCCAAGTGGGCAGTGGCATCTCCATGTTGGAGCTGAGAACAATGAGGCATTTTTAAGAAAACTTAGAAAACCTTGGAGAGAATGAAGATGTGGAGAGGGGAGGAGAGAGAGGAGCCCCACAGCAACGTGGATCCAGTCTGCAGGCCCCGTCCCCATCTTGAGACCGACCTGGACTGGCGTGAGGTCATTGGAAGTCTTTTCTTAGTCCACTCAGAACGTGTATTCCTCTCCCTGTGGAAATGGAAACAATTTGTTTAAGGGGTGCCACCCGAACCCCACTGGAGGAGTGGGTAATGTGAGGATCGTGTCCTGTGTTGCCTTCCTAAGGAACCGCACATGCTGATCTGTAGCACTTGTGGCCCCTGAATTTGCAGGAAGGGACTGGTCCCTCTCCTACATTGCCTATGTCTGCTGACACCCACTATATGGCAAGAGGATGGATATGTGTGGGTAGGGGGTCAAACCATTATAGTCAATGGGAAATTCAAAATGTCCCCGAACCCAGAAAAGTTTGCCTCACTTAGCGTTTGGTCTGTAGCATCCCAGCCCCCTTTTTCGTGGTTCTTTCTCAAAGCCTCGCAGCTCTAACCCTTGACCCGTTCTTACACCCCTGTGTGTGGAGAAAAATAACCATTCCTCTCCTGTGCTCTGAGGCCTCTCTAGAACTTTCCCCCTGGGCACAGGAAAGAGAGGAATAGTAACAGAATAATCGGGATGGTCTTGTTAGACAATCCAAAGCCCTCTGGGCTGAAGCAGAGGTTTTTTACCTCAGGGACACCCCAGCCTGGGCCCCTACCGTGTCAGCGTCCCCAGGCACAGGCAGGAGAGGTGACGTCACCTGCATTTACATGATGTCTGTCTGTGTGGCGTGGGTCACTGGGTGGCTTTACTGAGAGCAGGGACATCAGGGATGGGTGTTCTGGGATGACTTAACAAAGGGAAAACTGAGATTGTTCCTACTGAAGCCCCTTCTCCTTTCAGCCCCCACCGAGGCGGCCTGTCCCCAAGGGACTTGGAGTGGAGACTTGAGCCACCACCAGTCAGAGGTGCAAGTTTCACAGGCACAGCTGGAACCAAGCACCCTGGTGCCCAGTTGTCTGCGACTACAGCTGGATCAAGGGTTCCACTGTGGGAACGGCTTGGCCCAGCGGGGCCTTTCCTCCACCACCTGCAGCTTCTCAGCCAATGCTGATTCTGGGAACCAATGGCCCTTCCAAGGTAGGGAAGGAAACGGCGTCATGAAGCTCTAATCCAGGTGTTGGTGGTCACGACGGTGCTGTGGGTGGAGGAGAGAATGGGGCCTCCCATGCTTCCTCAGGGTCAAGTTGAAATCCATGATGCTCCAACCCAGTGAGGTGAGCAAAGGCCTGGAGCTTAGGACCGAATCTGCTCTCAGGACCTGGGTTTGCCACTTTCTGCTTGTTGACTTTGGCCAAGGTTTTTGTCTTTTTGCTCTTTATATCTCTGTTCCCTCATCTAAGATACCTGAAGAATAATATCTACCTGCAATCATAATTTCCAAAGGGCCTGATTCCATAAGAATTGCCCAATAAACCTATGAGTAGGTGTTATCTAATCCTTTTATCTTTCTGCTAAATTTACACTTAGCAAGTGACTTCACGGATGATGTCTCCTCTGAGGTAGAGCAGTTATGAAGATCTCTGCTTTCTAGGACCCCTCTTCCTTTCCTTTCTCACACAGACTCCTCTGCCAGTTTTCTTCCTCTCCTTCTCCATCCCTCATGAAGCCAATTTTCCCCTGTCAGGCACTTTCAATAACAACCTATGAGGCACATTGAGTAACAGTGTAAATCCTGGGCCCACACTCAGTCTCCTGACGTGTCCAGCTGCTTCTGCTGTTTTTTCTGCTTTTTTTGAAATAAAAGGGCAACTTTCACATGGAAAGTGTTCACATCAGTCTCTTTTATGAAATTCCATTTAGTTCACATTCTCCACTCATGTCCGTGGCCATGTCCTCGGTTTCTGTCTCACAGGGATCCATTTCTGCTCAGATTACCTTAAAATCCTGGGTCGTGTTCATTCTCACTCTCCATCCCACTCAATATCTCCTCCTGGAGCCCCTGGGGCTGCCTGGTGCTCATCTGTCAGGCGATGCCCTCAGCTGAGGAATGAGGGAACCCCTGTCCTCAGGGGGAGGGAGGGTTGCGTGAGATAATGAGCACCATCTGGGCCAGTGGAGAGGACACATGGAAGGTGCTCCGGGAGTGTCGGGGGATGTGCAGTCCCTGACACGTGCCATGATAACTTATTTAGACTGATTTCTTAGCACTGAACTCTCTTTTGCTTCTCTGTGGATTCTCACACCCCCAGCCAAGACTCACCCCACTGGCTCAGACACACTCCCTCTTGCTCACTTTCCCTGGAGTCCAGAGCCTGAACCAGGCTCCAGGTAAGAGGACAGACTGAACGCCTTTCGTTTCATTAACACTTTCCTTCACCTGGTGATTTCTCCCTGCTGTCTACCAGGTCATTTGTTTCTCCCATACCTATTCTTTCTCATTCTTCTCATGTCTCCAATTATTTTTCCAATTTCGATGGACCAGAATAGTGACTCTACTCTTACATTCAATCCCTCCCAAATCCCTATATTTTTTTTCTTTAAATTAATGTGTACAGATACATGCATGTGTATCATTTGTCCTATTACGTGTGACTATGTATATCTGGTGTGTATGCTATATAGGGTGTATATATATATGCAGTAGATCATATAATGATGCAACTTTTGTAAATTCTCTAGGTTTAGTCTTCCTGGTTCTTTCCTCTCATCAGTTGCTGTCACCTATGTCTGGTCTCACCTCTGTGCCACATGGGCTGCCACCCTGCCAGGCCCTTCCATTCCCATCTCCTGTTTGAACCCAGTTCTTATTTAACTTTGATTTTTGTAATCTCTTCTCTCCCCAAAGCATAGCCTACATACAGTGTTATTTCCTTGCCTTTGCCTTATCTACCTGGAAGCTATTTGTGTTTCTGAATCCTATGTTTCTGGAATATTTTTGTGACTTGGCAGTGCCTTTGGATCCTGGCAATCTTGTCGTTACTGAGTAATGTAGGAAAGATCAACAAAAAAGAAAGTATTAAAGTGACTCTATCGGCTTCCCCTCGCCCTTTGGACTTTCTTGTCCAAGGCTCTTTCCTGATTTGATGTCCTCTGGGTGGAAGAGAAAGTTACGGTAAGATCATGGATGGCAGCGGATCCCATTGGCTGTGGTTTTCTTTTCAGAGCTGGTTTTAGAGCCCTCTCTGGGGATGAAGAACCCTCCCCAGCTGGAAGATGATGCACTTGAAGGCTCAGCAAGCAACACACAAGGGCGTCAAGTCACTGGCCGGATTCGTGCCTCCCTTGTCCTGATACTGAAGACCATCAGAAGAAGACTCCCGTTCAGCAAGTGGAGACTGGCATTCAGATTCACTGGCCCGCATGCTGAGAGTGCAGAGGTAATCACATCTATGGCTGATAGCTGCACTCACTTCTTATTTCTCTGTCTATGGTGACAGCTCATTCTCTCACTGCTTTTTCTCTCCCATTTGTTCTCTCCAACAGCTGCTCTAACCTCTGTCTGGTCTTAGCTCTGTGTCCCATGGGCTCCCACCCTGACTGGCCCCTTCTCTACCCATCTTCTCTTTACTCTCTGAACTCTGCTCTATTCCTTTTTCTACTGTCTTGAGAGTCCCTCTCATGGCCACAGGAGAGCCAGGCCTCCTTGTCCCCATCCAAGTACATAGTTTAAGCTGCTGAACACAGGGTTGTTTGCCCGGAATCACACACTCCTTTGGGAAATTTACCTTTCCTTGCTGCATCCCCAACTCCATTGCCTCTTTCTGCAGAAGTCATTGCTTTAATACATCATTTACATGAAGATTTTCCTCTTGAGTCTTCTTTTGAGCAACACAACTAATTCAACTCTTAATCATCACTTGTTCCTCTGAATGAGAAGTGTTAAAACTAAGCACTAAGAGCCCCCCTAGGAAACTAAACTAGAACCAGGGTCACAGGTGGGAGTTCCCTACTGGCCTGGAGTCAGGTTTGTCTTTAGCCCCAGATGTGCAGCTTAGTGCCAACGTGGATGGAGTTGCCAGGGTCTCAGTGTTCTCACCTCATGGACTCACTTGAGCTGATGTTAACTGGGGAACATTTATGACATTCTAAAGGGACATCACTCCAAAAGTACATGCAGAGGGCAGGACTTGAAAACTGCATACATCATGAGGTACGTCATTCTAACCTCTCTCCTTTTTATTCTCATTTCCACTTTTCAAGTCCAGTTAAGGGTCTAAAATGCAAGTCAGATGAATCTTGAGGCCATTGTATATGAGAGAGCATTTTATGAATTAACTTTGAGAAAAGTGACTCCAGGACCAGCTTTATGCATACACTAGATGACAGGAATCTGTCTACAGGACAGTCTTTGCTTCGGTGCAGCCCAATTGATAAGACAGAGATTTAACTGAAATTGTCAGAGAGAAGGCTAAAATCCATGGAACCACTGGGAACAAAGCCAGTCATGAGATAAACGGGGAAAGGAAAGAAAATGATGGGAAATTGGGCTGGTCCATTTAGTATCTCTAAATCCTGCTGCCATGTAATAAGCACCCGGTGAGATTTCAATTAAGATGAATGCCTTCAACTTACACTTAGAGATGCTCACTTACATGGCCTGGGGTGTGGTCTGAGCATCTGTAGTTTCAAAATGCTCCCATGTGATTCTAATATGTGGCTAAAGACGAGAAGGACCCCTGGTCTACTATGACCTCAGGTTACCAACATGGAAGTGCCACATATGTGTGGCTACTCCACAGAAAAGGCTGAGCCTCTATCAGACTTTGATGGGATCTGTATTCCCCTCTCAATAGTACTCTTCGTATAGCATAGAAAAAAATCAAGAAGAAAAACAAGAAAATTAATAGATTAGACTTTTAGCCTCTGCTTGAAGCACACTTGCTGAATTTTGAATACAAGATAAGTAAGAAATAGTCATGATATTAACACCTAATGTACGGAAATAATACCTGCCATATTACATATAGTGGAATTTAGTATTTTCTTTTGCATTTTAAAATAAAACTTCCAGTTTACATTTCCCCACACCCATTTTATAGCCCACCAATGGTCTCACCACTGCAATGTGAAAATTTTACTTTTGGTCAATTATTGTCCTTCTGCAAAATCCCCAAAGAGAACTCATTGGTCCCCCTGTCCTGAAGAGCATACAATAACAAATTAAGACTGAAATGCTGCACGAGATTGTATATGAATACTTCTTCATGCCTCTCTTCACACTGGCATAAAATATTAAAAAGAAACCTTTCTCATAATGTACTTGGGGAAAACAATAAGCGGGACGGGAGACTGTAGTAAAACACAAACTAATCCTTTTCACTTTGTACTTCAGAGTTTTCTTGGTCTAGATATTGAGAATATTTCTAGAAATGCCTTAAGGTGGAACCGGATGTGGAATCAACTTCAGGGCATTAGGGAAAATAAGTTGGGCCATGGTTACAGTCCCTTTTCTCACTTTGCTAACTCCATTTTGAGTCTCTTTTTTTAAACTCCCTTTCTTTCCTGATGACCTTTGGACAAAAACTTATAATTATATATATTTTTTATTTTTTTTAACCAACCAAAGAAACAGCAGCACCATCATATTTATCTGTAAAACCTTATTCCTGTCCTAGCCAAGGTGACCCAACCACCACTCATGACTGTTGAGACCTCCAGATTGGAGCCTTTCCTCTCGCTTTCTCCAATCTTTATTGAAAGGCCTTAGTGGGTGGATTCTAATTCCTGGGTTGTCAATAGCAAGTCATGTGGCCTTAGTTCCATCTTACCCCTGTGGCATCACTACTCCTCTGTTGTAAAATGTGGACCTGGACGTGGATGTTGTCTGAGGTTTCTGCTGCTTCTCATATCCAGGGTTCTTCCCATGGCCCTCCCGCTCCTCCCTAGAAGACTAGGACATGGAGTTGTAAGGGGGTGGGTTTCTCTGCAGAGGCTCCTGTCCTTCTGCTCCCCTCTGTTTCTTGGCATGCATGATTGATGCTGAGTACATGCTCACTGGGAGGAAAAGCCATCACTCTGCTCCAGACAGAGGGGATCAGGAGGAAAGGGGATGATGTTGCCCACTGCTGGTTGGGCATAGGTGGGGTCCTTATATCCTGCACCCCAGGCTGACTGGAAGTTCAGGAGTGTTTTCTTCTCACTTGTGGATGGTGCTTCCCCCTTCTGACAGCCCAGGACTCACCCTTCAGCTCATCCTCCCAGCAGGAGATCCCAGTGAGATATCACTGCTTAGCAATCCCTCCAGACTCAGCCACCAGGTGGACCTGACAAAAATGCTCATTTGATTTTTTTTCTCTCTCTCCCCTACAGATACCAAATACTGCTGGAAGGACGCAAAGGATGGCAGGATGAAAGAATGTCACAAAAAGCAGCTTTTCCACTTGATAAAAACAACTAAAACAGCAAAGCAAGTTTAAGTCCAAACACAATACTGCAGGGGTCCTTCACTGAGGATTGAATTTCAGACACAGAATACTCTTGATGACTTCAAGCCACTATGCTCCTTTGATTTGAGAAGCCACATTCCATCCCCCTCCAATTGTGACCAATACCTAGGGAGACCAATGCCCAGATGGACAAATAGCATTGACCGGCGTTAGCCCTGTTTCTCAATTCCCATCGTGTAGAGAACAGGAGTCCGCAGCTGCTGGCAGGAGACAGCATGTCAGCCGGGACTCTGCCAGGGCAGAGTATGAGCAATGCCATGTTCTTGCTGAAAACGCTTAGCCTGAGTTTCATAGGCGGTAACCCTCAGATAACTGCAGAATGTAGAACATTGAACAGGACAACTGACCTGTCTCCTTCAAACAGTCCATGTCACCACCAAGAACACAACAAAAAGGAGAAGAGACATTTTGAGTTCAAAAAGAGTAAAAAGCCTATGCAGCTTATGCTTTTTTAGTCATTTTGAACCCAAAACATCTCCTCATCTTTTTGTTGTTGTCATTGATGGTGGTGACATGGACTTGTTTGTGGAGGACAGGTCAGCTGTCTGGCTCAATGGTCTACATTCTGAAGTTATCTGAAAATGTCGTCATGATTAAATTCAGCCTAAACATTTTGCCAGGAACTCTGCAGAGTCCATGCTGTGAGCTTCCTACCTCAGCCCATCTGCAGGCAGAGAAGGCCCAGTGTGTCCATCCCCAGTGCGGTGATACTAGGATGGTCACTTGGTTAAGGAGGGGTCTAGGAGCTCTGTCCCTTGTAAAGACATCTTATTTGTAAGTAATTTGGAAAGTGGTTTGAAATAGTATAAATATCCTGTATTCTAGTGATCTTCTTCAGAACATTTTATCACCAATTAATCACCCCGTCTGTGTCAGTTATTATATTTAAGTTTGTACATTGAAAATTGTCTATCTCAAAATCTTACCTTATACTTGCTTTTGCTGGCATTCTTCGTAAAAAAGATCATTCCCTGCCCAAATTTTAACTTTCATCCAAAATTAATTTTAATTTCTTTTTGCTGGCATTCTGTTGTGAAAAAGAATATTCTCTGCCCCAATTATAACTTTCATCCAAAATTAATTTTAGTCCATCAGTTAAAATTTTAAGTTTTAAATCTGTTTAATTAAAACATTTCTTGCCTCTCACTCTGGACTATTGGATTTTTTACATATAATGTTTTAAGCTTTTATTATTATGATTGATTTTGGCGGATAAGAATTTAGATTAATAAAAACATTCTTATTTCCTTGTTTATATTCAAAACTCTTCCATGTTCTAGTCTACGTTTACCGTATGTGGTAGATTGTATTTCCTGTATTTCTTTGTTGATGTTATTTGTTTTCTTTTTGTGTTTGTGTAAGTGTGCGTGCTTTTTGTTTGTTATTTAGGAAGAGTTGTATAGCTCCCATTTAACATTGCACTGAAAAGGTTTTAACGTCACTAATCCCCTTTTAACTTGACACATTTCCACTGTTTGGTTTATACATTTTAAATTATTTCTTTGAATGTCAAATTTTTACCACTATGACAATCAAAGACATCATTTTCCTCTTCTCTAACCTCATTACCTACCATTTCTTATTTTTTATTTTAACCCAAACATAAAGTGACAGCCTATGTGACACCTTGGTTTTTGGTTGAGATCTACATTTAAATATGTTGATGCACATGAGCTGTTCAAAAGTGTGTCCTAAGCATCACTTGTTGAGTGGAATTTATCCTTAACAGAGTCCTCATGAGGGAATCAGGTCTCGCTGAGTTTTACCTACTTAATCATAAACTTTTCCCAATGTCTTGATACATGGATTGCATCACTGGATATAAGGTACTTGCCAAAAATGACTTTTGCTTGGGATTTTAGGAAATATTGTCTGGCTTTGGGGGACAGGCCTGTGTGCTCTCAGTCTGGGGTTCTATTTTGTTCAACCAGGACCTTTAATTTCTGCCAGTTACTTCATTCATTCTCTTCACCACAAGTCTCCAGAGGATGCTCCCTTTGTCCAGGCCTCCCCGTCTCCCAGCGATTCTGCCCTTTGAAGATTGGCCCCTCTGGTCCTCTGCACTGTGAAGCCCCTGCCTTTCAATTCCCCAGTAGCAGGGTTCTGACCCACCAGGTCTCAGGCCTGATCTGTGTTTCTCCACACTCGCTTTCTGAGAAAGGTTTTACCTGTGTTTTGTCATTAACAGGCCCTCGCTGCTGTGCTGGCCTCTATTTGCATGGTGTTTCCTGCTCCCTGTGCTGTTATGTGGCTCCCAGACCTGGCTAAATAAAATCACTTGGGGTCCCCAGTGTTCCCTAGCCCTGGTTGGGGGCAGGATTATGGGTAGTATTTTGGACTCTGTGTTAATCCCTAGGGCTTTGAAGTGTATGTGGAGAAATTCAGCTATTATTCTAACCTACTTCTTCAAATGCAGAACCTCAGCAGTATAAAAAAGGAGACAGAACCCTATACTAGAACATCCTCATAATCACTGACCAGCTTCAACAATTATCATCGAATGGCTGAGCTTTACAAAATCCAATCCTTCCTACCTACCTATGAAGTGTGTGTGTGTGTCTATATGTATATATTAATATATATGTATGTATATGTATATGGCATATATGTGTGTGTGTATATACGCACAGTTTAGACATGAGATTCTGGAGGCTGAAATTCCCAAGATGGAAAGAGGGATACCCAGGAAAGTATTTCCTTCTTATTAGGCCTTTTACTTCTCCTCTGGCCTTTGGTTGATTGGTTGGGGCCCACTCACCTTAGGGAGGGCAATCTGCTTCACGTAGACTGCCTATTCCTGTGTTAATGTCATCCAGAACCCACCTCCAGTACAAACACAGAATAACATAGGAACGAATGTCCTGGCACCCTGGGGCTCAGTCACAGTGACACACAACCATCACACAAGTTCTTTGTCATATTACTGATTTCCACATTCTTCTCTCAATCTGTAGGATGTCTTTTTATTCTATGAATAGTGTCCTGTGCTGACCAAGAATTTTTAATTTGTATAAAGTTGAATTTACCAATGTTTTCTTTAATAGTTTTGTTGATGTGATAACTAAGAATACTTAGCTTAACTCCACATCATGAAGATTTTCTCTTATGCTTTCTACTGTAAGTTCTCTAGTTTTGCAGTTTACATTTAGTTCTGTAATTAATTTTGATTTAATTGTTGTGCATGTATGGAGGTTTAAGTGGATTTTTAAAATCGTTGTTTAGTTTTTTCCTTCAACTTTTAAGTTCAGGGGTACATGTGGAGGATGTGCAGGTGTGTTACATAGATGAACATGTGCCATGTGGTTTGCTGCACAGATCATCTCATCACTTAAGTGTTAAGCCCAACATCTATTAGCTACTATTCCCAATGCTCTCCCTCCCCCCTCCCCCATCCCTCACTTCTGACAGGCTGGGGCCAGTGTGTGTTGTTCCTCCCATGTGTCCATGTGATATCATCATTCAGCTACCACTTATAAGTGAGAACATGTGGTGTTCGGTTTTCTGTTCCTGCATTAGTTTGCTGAGGATAATGGCTTCTAACTTCAACTGTGTCCCTGCAAAAGACATGATCTCGTTCCTTTTTATGGCTGCATAGTATTCCATGATGTATATGTACCACATTTTCTTTATCCAGTCTATCATTGATGGGCAATGAAAACCATAAACCCCAAATATCCCAGAAAAATAGTGTATCCTAAGGACAAGAAACATGAAGAAAACTACACCAAGGAACACCATACTCAAATTGATCAAAACCAGTGATGAACAGAAAATCCTAAGAGGAATAAAAGGAGAAAAAACACATTACACACAGAGGAGTAAATGTAAGGATGACATTCAATTTCTTATCAGAACCATTACAAACTAGAAGTTTGCAATAGTTTTTAAATACTGAAAAAAAGCACAAGCAATCAAAACTGACATCTGAATAGACTTCTAAAACTAAAGAGATTGAATTAGCAATCAAAAAAACTACATGCCAACAAAAGCCTGGGCCCAGACGGATTCACTGCTAAATCCTACCAAATATCTAAAGAAGAGTTGATAACAACTTTTCACAAACTCTTCCAAAAATACAGGAGAGAACACTTCCCAGCTTATTCTACGAGGCCAGTATTACTCCAACACTGAAACCAAAGACATCACAAGAAAACTACAAATGAGTATCGTCTTTAAATACGGACACAAAATCCTCAACAAAATATTAGCAAACTGAATCCGGTAACATCTGCAAAAATTATACATCATGACCAAGTGGGATTTATCCCAGGGATAGAAGGTTAGTTTAACATCTGAAAACCAATTAAGGTAGCATCAGTAGAAAATAAACCAAAACTAATGTGATAATCTCAATAGACATGGGAAAGGCATATGGCAAAATTCAGTATTCTTTCAACAAACAAGGAATAGAAGGGAACTTCCTCAACCTGATAGAGGACATCTGTGAGAAAACTTCAGCTAACATCATGTTTAGTGGTGACAGACTGAATGCTTTCACCTTTAGATTAGGAATAATACAAAGATGTCCACTCTCACCACTTGTATTCAATGTTGTACTGGAGATAGTAGCCAGGACAATTAGGTAAGAGAATGAAATAAAAGGTATCCAGATTGGAACAGAATAAGTTAAACTACCTTTATTTGCAGATGTTATGTTCTTATATGTAGAAAACCTCAAGGAACGTACTAAAATACTACTAGAATTAATAAATTCATCAGGGTTACAGGACATGAGGTCAGTACTTAACAATAAATTGTGTTTCAGATTTTCAGATTAGGGATACTCAACTTATACACTTAAGTCTCTGGACAGTGAAATCATGAGTATTTTTTCTTCTGTGATCTCCTACATTTTCTATATGGTAAATACGTGCCAGTTTCATAATCAGAAATGAAATTACAAAGATCATTTAAAAACAGCAAAAGAAATTGGTATGAAGGAGATAAATTTAAGGTCGCTGAAAAAATCATTCTACTATAACCCAGTTAGCTAATGTAGTTTCTTTGTTTTTAAGATTAATTGCTTAGACAGCATGTAATCAGAATAAAACAGGTGTATTTTAATCTATTTTTAAAATTTAGTAATTTTATAATAGTTGATTTTCTTAGTCACCACTACTTTCATAAATAACCTTTGTTCTTCAAGGTGGAGCATGGTTAATATTTCCATGCAAGCAAAATGTTGTTTATAATGCTGTTCATTGATGCATCCTGTCATGTCGCAAAAGGCTACCTGGAAGTTTGTGAAAGATGTTTGGTGGGTAGCAGGAAGTTGTGAGGTTTAACAAATAAATTTGGCTAAATAAAATTCTGATGGGTGCACATAGTAGCCAGTACTCCAATTCATTCATGTGCATTCTGGATTACTGCAGCCACGTCATAATTAGGGTGGTAATGACTTAATAAACCAAATAATTGAATGGGCTGGTGGCTCACACCTGTAATCCCAGCATTTTGGGAAGCCAAGGCGGGCGGATCACTTCAGGACAGGAGTTCGAGACCAGCCTGGCCAACATAGTGAAACCCAGTCTCTACTAAAAATACAAAAATTAACTGGGCGCGGTGACGCATACCTGTAATTCCCACTACTTAGGAGGCTGAGGCATGAGAATCACTTGAGTCCAGGAGGCAGAGGTGGCAATGTGCCAAGATTGCTCCATCGCACTCCAGCCTGGGCGACAGAGCAAGATTCTGTCTTGAAAAAAATAATACTGATAATCCAAATCGTTTTTCAGATTCAGCGATACAAATGAAGAACGATGGTCTTCATTTCTGTACTTCTATTTTTGGTAGCACTGTTATTGTTTTTAGACCAATATACCTTTTTTTAAATTAAAAAAGATCGTTTTAGAGTCGGTGTCTCACTCTGTCACCCAGCCTGGAATGCAGAGATGTGATCGTGACTCACTGCAGCCTCAAACTCCTGGGCTCAAATGATCCTGTCACCTCAGCCTCCTGAGTAGCTGGGACTACCAGGCATATGCCACCAAATCTGGCCAGCTTATGCTTATTTTTAAACATTTTTTCTTAAGAGAAGACATAATGACATTTAGTGTGATAGTATATTCTAAACAATTTATGATGATGATTTTTGATCCTCAAACACATGTTATTACTTCCAGTATAATTCTTCTGTCTGCAGAAGAGTGAGGACAAAAGATATTGCTCTCTTCCACCAATAATAGTATTCTTGAGTTAATGGAGTGCTTTAGAGTGTAGTGTGTGTATCTCATGATTCTTTCAATATTCTTTGGAGGATGGCAGAGCAGGCATTATGAATTTGGACTTGTACATAAGGAAACTGGAACTTAGAGATTTTCAGTTAATTTGCTAGAAGATGAAGATGTCTAAGAGAAGGAAATGTGAACTAAGATGATATTTAGAAAGGACAAGGTGGTTGGAACCAGACAAACAGGGATATGAGTCATGATTCTGTCATTTGGGAAAGTCACTCAATCTCACTGATAATCACTTTTCACATACGTAAAAAAAGGTATTAAGTCCAACTTTGAGGAAATGTTATAAGACTTAAATAAGAATAATACATGTTAAGCATCTAGAATTTAGGATGTTTCTTTAACAGCTATCTCCGTTCATTTCTCTTAAATATCTTCATGTTTAGGAGACAGTTGTAGCTGAATATTTTAAGTCTGGAAACAAGCATGACTGGCAGATGCAATTATAGACAATTTTAACTGTGATTCCCCGGGTCACTTTGAATTTCTTCTGTGGGATAAATTCTTCCCTTGCTCTAGATGAAAGGGCAACTCCTATAACTTACCACTTCCAGTTAATGAAAGCTTCTTCCAAAAAGGAATTCATATGTTAGACCCAGGGTGGTCATCAAACCTTTAACCTCAATTTCAAGCTAAAACTTCTTCTCCCTGCACTCAGGCCAGCTCAGACCAAAAGCCTGCAGTGGAGAAAGTGGATGTGTTTGCCTTTTTCTTTTTTCTCCGTCTAGGATTCTTCCTTCTCTAGCTCGCTAACCACATCAGAGTCACAATAGGATAGCGAGGAGAGGAAGCGGGCAGTTAGCAGGTTCTTACTTGACACTAATATAGTTGTGAGTAGCCCTATGTTCTCTGCCCTGAGAGCTTTTAAAGCCCTCTCTTTCTCTTATGGGTCTGTTTTGTGAGTTATGTGGAGACTCCCTACCCCACCTGTTACTATGGATCTCTCATGTAGTTGCTTAGTGGGGATCATGTACTCTCCCCCTGGCTGGTCACTTACGTCTCCTTTTTCAGGTGCTAGACATCTGATGGTGCCTCAACATTTTTTCCCCTGCTGAAATCTGTATTTCTTCCAGAAATCCCTTTCAGAAAAAAATCTAAGACAACCCCACCCTGGCTGTCTTGCACAGCTCGCATCTGGTACAGGAGAAAAATTCACATATTCTTTGTTTCAACAAACTCTGAGCAAGTAACTTGCCCAAGGCAGCAGCTTCTCTTTCACTTTATTGTGAGAACTGTTAGCTGACATTTCTTAATTATATTTGCTGTGTCCTCAAAACCCATGATACTTGCATCAAACTTTGTGTCTGTCATGAAGAGGGGATAAGAAATGTGGTATATACATGCAATAGAATATGATTGCGCTTTTAAAAAGAAAGGAATTCTGACATGTTACAAATGAATGAAACTTGAGGACATTATGCTAAATAAAATATGCCTGTCACAAAAGGACCAATGTATGATTTACTTATATGAGGTACTTAGAGTAGTGAAATTCATAAATAGAGTAGAATGGTGGTTGCCAGGGGCTTCCAGGAGGGAGGAATAAGAAGTTACTCTTAATGGGTACAAAGTTTCCATTTTGTAAGATGAAGAGTTCTGGAGTTTGGTTGCACTAGTTTGAATGTACTTTATGCCACTGAACTGTACACTTAA
The DNA here is from genome assembly GCF_000001405.40 of Homo sapiens. NCBI lineage: Eukaryota > Metazoa > Chordata > Mammalia > Primates > Hominidae > Homo > Homo sapiens. The sequence continues at coordinate 227,885 of NW_017852928.1, read as the reverse complement.
AAACGGTTAAGACGGTAAATATTATGTTATGTGCATTTTACCACAATTAAGAAATAAGGCCAGGCATGGTGGCTTATGCCTGTAATCCAGGCAGTTTGGAAACCCAAGGAGGGAGGATTCCTTGAACCCAGGAGTTTGAGATCAGACGGGGCAAAATAGTGAGACCCAGTGTTTACAAAAAAAATTAAAAATTAGTTGAGCATCGTGGTGTACGTCTGTAGTCCTAGCTACTCGGGAGGCTGAGGCAGGAGGATCACTTGAGCCCAGGAGTTTGAGGCTGCAGTGAGCCATGATTATGCCATTGCACTTCAACCTGGGCAACCCCGTCTCAATAAAATAAAGCAAGAAAAGAAAAGAAAACTAACTTTAACCATCTCAGTCCATTTTTGCAGCTTAAAGTCACATTATACACTTCAGGCTTACTGAGTCATGGATAAATCATTCACAGGAATCATAAAAGTCCTGACTCAATATGAACCTTTAATTTTATTATTGGTGGAAGGATGCTGATGTAATCGATTTTGCAATATATAATATAATTTTAAAAGATAAATGTATTACATTTCTTTTGTTGTTTTTTCGTTATATTGTAGTGCACAGTGAGTGAATATGGACAGAGAATATTTTTTAAAACAAAAAACGTGTTACACTCAGGTTTAAAATCATATTTTAGTTCTGTATCATTTGTTGGTGTACTTCAAGGATCTATAACTGCAGTGATGTACTTTCAAAAAGTAAAGATCCACTTATTTTTCTTTCCTCTTACCTCCTCCTGCCTGCATTCACCTTTCAGCTTTCATAATCTATCCGAGAGCCATTCTTCAGCTTTAAGTTACAGCACCCTCTACTGAGCTGTTAGCAACATTACATTGTGGCCGTTTTTCTTTTTTTTTTTTTTTTTTGACACAATAAATTTTATTGTTTCCATAATAATAGGCTCTGGACAAAGACAATGGAGACAATGACAACACATTTAATCTCCTATAACAAATTAATCTGTTACAAATTTCCAGTGGCTCAACATATTAAAATGCAAAATATATAAAGAGAAAAACAAGAAATATAAATATTGAGATTTTTACAGTATAATGAAATGTCCTTTAAATAAAGTTTGTTGTAACTGTGTATGTAATTCTGACAGTAATTCAAAACACAAAATCACACATTTTCCCTAACTTCCCACGATCTGGATCTGGGGATTGCAATACTACAGAAATATGCAAAAGTAAGTTTAGTGCTCAGAGATAAATAATTTTCCTTATTTCAATGCATCAATGTGCAAACATTTCAATTCAAAAAAGCCAATCACTGCTATATGCAGATAAATAAAACAGATTTGACAACACTTTAATAATCAAACCCAACACTATAAAAAATAATGTGTGCGCGTGCATGTACATGTGTGTGCATGTGTGTAGGCAATGCCCATTTTAGAAAAAAGGTGTCTTGATGAAAATGATTTTGAAAATAGTCACTGATACACATTATATACAAAACCTTTTATATAAAAAATTAAACTATTTTCAATGAAATTCCATGTTCACATCCTATCTGAAAACTGTAATAGAATCATAAATAGGTCTACTAATGGTTTCTCTCTGAAATCATGGCTAAGGCACTTCTTTTTCCAAGGGTTTTCTTATATATCTGCCTGATGTCACTAATACTAATGTAGTCAAGTATACAGATGCAACCTGACATGCCTATGCATTATTACCTGGAGCTCTGTTCACTGTTATAATGGGAGAATTTACAGTTTCTACAAAGAATATTTTTCTTTTTAAAATTATACTGGTTTCTGTATTCCAAATTAAGCACTTACTTAAGACATTAAGTTTTTCCATTAGTGGTTGCCTTTCTTTCAGAAGCAAAATATAATTTTCAAAATAATATTTTGAAAATGCACTACAGAGATGAACTCTCTGCAAATCCAATTGCTCTCAAACTATTTGAAACTTATTACAATTATACATTTACAGCCACATTACTGCAAAGATACAAGTAGTCATGAGTTTGAAGATACAGTCAGACTTTAATGTAAAGGACATTCAGTTTTTGGGTATATTTAGCAGAAAAGCACGAAAGAAAATAGCAAAAAGTTCTACTTTAAAAATGAGTAATTAGACACTTTAAAATAAGAAATGTGCATTTAAAATTTTTCTCTGCAGAGTGTGTTAGCTGTTAAAATGAATGTTAGGGGAGCAATTTTTAGAGATTCTTAGGTTAATTGTTATTGATATGACCCAAATTTCTTCTAGCTATAAAACCCTTTAAGTGTGATAAAATTATTTCCTGTATCCCCTGACTAGATGATATGCTGTAGGAAGACTGAGAATTTTGTTGGTTTTCTTTACTGCTGCATCCCCTATATGAAGATCTGTGTACGGCACATAGCAGACACTCAATAAATATTTAATAGTCGAATGAACAAAGTATGTGGGAAGAAATGTCTATTCACACCTGCTTTGCACTTTAAAAGCACAAAAGACTTTATTACGGAACCACTTGTGATTAGTCCTTTTATTTCCATCTTACTTACAGCCCTTTTCTTCTTAGAACTTTGATCACCATTATTATAATATGGTACCGAACTCTTCAGTGTTTGGATCTCTTCTTGTAAAACTTTATATATGTAAGATGCGTGGGGGGAAGTAGTTTACATAAGATAATTCATGTAACTGGCCTTCTCTTTAAATAATTCTATGTAAACTTTTTATTAATATGGTAGCAATTCCTCTGTCTTCTCAAGCGAAGAATGTAGATAATAATTAGCCTTTTTTGGAGTTATGCTTTCCTTGTGTTTGTTTTAATATTTCTGATTGCCTTGCATTGTAATGAAATTCTAGCTTGGATGTTAGCTCTTCCTCCACCCACTAGTCTCTTCTGTCACTGTGCCTGGCTCACATATTCCTGACCACTCCCCAGCTACCCTTTAGGTTTTCCTGCTTTGAATCTGCTCTTCTGCTGGAAAGCAATTAAGCAAATATGACAAGAGCCAGATATTAAATAAAATTGAATATGTCTCCGAATAAGGACCAAAAATCACAGTTTCCGTGCACAGCCTCTGTGCGGGGTTGAGAATTCCATCTTCATATGAATGAGGTGTTATCCCCATGTACCACCCAACAAATAGAACAAATTTTTCTCCTGGCTCATGATATCTTAAAATGAAAGCTGGGAAAGTTTGGAGTCTTTATGAACTTTTTTGTAGAATGTATTATAAAAGTACATAAGAAACAACATCAATTATGCTCAGTGCCCATTACATACATTGCATCTTGCCAGTGCTTATTTGAAATGTCTCCTACACAAGTAGGAAGAAATGTGGGTATCAGGGGAATTTGGTTTATTCTTCATTCACCCTTTCTTTTAGACATCTGGCCCCAAAATAAGCAGGAGGAAGGTATTCTAGAGGGAATTTTTGGAACGAATGCCAGCGTAATCTTAACTTGGGATTCTCTCGGGTTAAGGATGGATCATACGCTATGCACCTAGTATGCAATTCCCTTTTTCCTTAGCGACCTTTGTGGGTATGGAATAATCACTGCTTCCACTCACCTTTGCAGCCCTCTTCATGCCAGCTTTCTAACCCCTTCTCCGTGATGCTAGCAGCATCAGAGACAGCATCACAAGTGGAGAGATTGCAGGAAGGTAAATTATCTGCTGTAGCTTCATTCATGGCCATGAAACTAGGCAACAACGACAGGTATTCCATCAGTCTAGCATCACTTTGACCGCTTTTGCTATACTGCGCTGCTGATCTGATACAGTATTATAGGTTGGTTTTGTATAGATCACACAGAGGCAGTTTGCAAGGGAAAATATATCACAGGCAAACCTGAGGAGTGGTACAATCTGAGGAAGTTAGGGAGGGCTTTTTAAAGGGCGTTAGAAGTTTGTACGTTAAAAGAAATTAATTGACAAAAAATTTGCAAGCACACTTTAAGGAATGCCTACATATGTTCACCCAGAGATTCCATCCAAGTTTCACACCAAATGTCCCAACAACATCCTTTGGGATCACATATTACACTTACTTGTCAGATTTCTTTAGTTTCCTTCAATTCAGAACAATACAGTCATTCCTGATCTTTCTGGACTTTATGTATTTGAAGGTTGCAGGCTGGCTATTCTGTAGAATATCCTCAATTTTGTTTTCTCTGATGTTTCCTCATGATGAGATTCAGGTTATGCATTTTGTTGGGACTATCACAGAAGTGATGTTATCTCTATCACATGACCCATGATCTTATTTCCTGTTACTGGTGACGTTAAGTTTGGTCATTTGCATAAGCTAGTATTTGCTAAGCTTCTTCACTATAAATTCTTTGTTCCATTTGTAATATACAATATTTTATTGAGACACAGTTTGAAACAAGGTAAATATCACATTTCTTATCCAACTCTTACACACTGAGTGCTAGCATTTTTTGATATTTCTTGCCTGAATTAATTACTTTTACCATGATGATCACCAGACGGTGATATCCTAATTCCATCATTCCACTAACATTTATTAGTTGGCATTCAACTTTAGAGAAGGAATTTCTGTTGTCTCCTTGGTATGACATCCATGTGGATTGATGGATTCCTGTTTCATCTAATGTGATCTAATCTGCTAACACTATGTATTTTGATGCCCAAATTGTCTTAGGGTTTTCCAGGGAGAGCCCCTTCAAGCTGACTCTGTGTCCTTTTGACACTACTCCGTTCTTTGAGCACTTACTCTCTGGTGAAATGAGATGTTCTGTGCTTATTTTGGACCTTTGTTGTCCCTACCCTGCAATCAGCTATTTCTCCAAGGTCCCCTAGTTTCTTTCAGAGAGTGATATTTAGAAAAAAAGATCTGGGTACTGTATGTTCTCATTGCTACTAGGCCCTGTCAGTGGACAGAGGTAGAAAATATATGTATGTACGTGTGTACATACATACATACACGCATATTACACACATACACATCCCTTTATATTTCTATATCTAAAAATATTTAAAACCATGAACTCACACCACTACTACTAATTATAATCCAACACTATAGGGTTCATTCTAGCTTAACTCTTTTCATATTTGTAACTCACTTCTCTGACTTAGCTCTCATTATCCTCAACATATTTATTTGCTTAGTCTCCTTGTGTATAACCAATCCCTCAGCCTCATTAGGCTATTGCCCTTCTCAGCACCTTCCTTCCTGAGTTCTGACTCTGGTTGTGCAGCTTTCCTCATTCTAGCCTGCCTGATGACTTTAATCTGATGAGGAAGGAAGGAGGAAGGAAGGAAGGAAGGAGGGAAAGGAGGGAGGTGAGGGCTTTACATATAAAAAATAAGTGTAAAATATCAATTCAAGTTCCATGATTATTGATTCTTGGAAGTACAAAGTATTCTTTTAACTTAAATAAATTCTGAAAATCTAGAAACAGTCTTAATATAGTCTTTTTAATCATTTCAAAATACTGAGGTATGTGGTTTTTAAGGCAGTTTGAATTTAACACAACTATTTTGAAATGAGAAGTATTTACATATTTTAGTGAGGATGGCAATTTTCTGGTAACTAAGAGCCATATTTTTATGATTGAGAATTGTTTGCATTTATTTTGGAGGATGGAATGGGGTTAGGAGATAGGCAGAGCAAGAGATGGAATTTGTTTTACTTCGAATTCCATCTCCTAAATGACTTGGAAAACCTGATGAAATTTCCAATTAGCTTAATGTGATGTAAGTGAGCCAAAAACTTAAAATGATTGTTTCACTAAAGACTAGTAGGACACCCAAATTCAAAATTTATTGCACAATAAAATTATCCTCCCAGAGATCTTTTGTGGGGCAAGATGGCTGAATAGGAACAGCTCTGGTCTGTAGCTCCCAGAGAGACCAACACAGAAGGTGGGTGATTTCTGAATTACCAACTGAGGTATCCGGCTCATCTCACTGGGACTGGTTAGACAGTGTGTGCAGCACACGGAGGGCTAGCAGAAGCACGGTGGTGTGTCGCTTTACCCAGGAAGTGCCAGGGGCGGGGGAACTCCCTCACCTAGCCAAGGGAAGCCTTGAGGGATTGTGCCCTGAGGGACGGTGCTGTCTGGCCCTGATACTACGCTTTTCCCACGGTCTTCAAAACCCACAGATCAGGAGATTCCCTGGGGTGCCTACACCACCAGAGCCTGGGTTTGAAGCACAAAACTGGGCGACCATTTGGGCAAGCACCAAGCTAGCTGCAGGAGTTTATTTTCGTAACCCAGTGGGGCCTGGAACACTAATGAGACAGAACTGTTTCCTTCCCTGGAAAGGGGGCTGAAGCCAGGGAGCCAGTGATCTTACTCAGCAGATCCCACTTCCAAGCAGCCTAGCAAGCTAAGAACCACTGGCTTGAAATTCTCACTGCAAGCTCAGTACTCTGAAGCCAACTTGGAACTCGAGCTTGGTGCAGGGAGGGGTATCGGCCATTACTGGGGCTTGAGTAGGCGGTTTTCCCCTCACAGTGTAAACAGAGCCCCCAGGCAGTTTGAACGGGGCGGAGCCCACCAGAGTGCCGCAAAGCAGCTGTAGCCAGACTGCCTTTCTAGATTACTCCTCTCTGGGCAGGGCATCTCTGAAAGAAAGGCAGGAGCCCCAGTCAAGGGCTTATAGATAAAACTCCCATCTCCCTGGGACAGAGCACTTGGGGGAAGGGGCTGCTGTGGGTGCAGCTTCAGCAGACTTAAACATTCCTGCCTGCCAGCTCTAAAGAGAGCAGCGGATCTCCCGGCACAGCGCTGGGGCTCTGCTAAGGAACAGACTGTCTCCTCAAGTGAGTCCCTGGCCCCCAAGCCTCCTAACGGGGAGACACCTCCCACCAGGGGTTGACAGACACCTCATAGAGAAGAGTTCCTGCTGGCATCTGGCAGGTGCCCCTCTGGGACGAAACTTTCAGAGGAAGGAGCAGGCAGCAATCTTTGTTGTTCTGCAGCCTCTGCTGGGGATACCCAGGCAAACAGGCTCTGGAATGGACCTACAGCAAACTCCAGCAAACCTGCAGAAGAGGCGCCTGACTGTTAGAAGGCAAACTAACAAACAGAAAGCAATAACATCAACATCAACAAAAAGGAAGCCCATGCAAAAACACCATCCAAAGGTCACCACCATCCAAAGGTCACCAACATCAAAGATCAAAGGTAGATAAATTCATGAAGATGAGGAAAAACCAGCACAAAAATGCTGAAAATTTGAAAAACCAGAATGCCTCTTCTCCCGCAAAGGATCACAACTCCTCGCCAGCAAGGGAACAAAACTGTATGGAGAATGAGTTTGATGAATTGACAGAAGTAGGCTTCAGAAGGTGGGTAATAACAAACTCCTCTGAGCAGAAGGAGCATGTTCTAACCCAATGTAAGGAAGCTAAGAACCATGATAAAAGGTTACAGGAACTGCTAACTAGAATAACCAGTTTAGAGAAGAACATAAATGACCTGATGGAGCTGAAAAACACAGCATGAGAACTTCATGAAGCATACACAAGTATCAATAGCTGAATAGATCAAGTGGAAGAAAGGATATCAGAGATTGAAGATCAACTTAATTAAATAAAGCATGAACACAAGATTAGAGAAAAAAGAATGAAATGAACAAAACCTCCAAAAAATATGGGACTATGTGAAAAGACCAAACCTACATTTGATTGGTGTACCTGAAAGTGATGAAGAGAATGGAACCATTTGGAAAACACACTTCAGGATATTATCCAGAAGAACTTTCCAAAACTAGCAAGACAGGCCAACATTCAAATTCAGGAAATAAAGAGAATACCACTAAGACACTTCTTGAGAAAAGCAACCCCAAGACACATAATTGTCAGATCACCAAGGTTGAAATGAAGGAAAAAATGTTATGGGCAGCGAAAGAGAAAGGTCAGGTTACCCACAAAGGGAAGCCCATCAGACTAACAGCGGATCTCTCTGCAGATACCCCACAAGCCAGAAGAATGTGGGGGCCAATATTCAGCATTCTTACAGAAAAGAATTTTCAACCCAGAATTTCATATCCAGCCAAACTAAGCTTCATAAGCAAAGGAGAAATAAAATCCTTTACAGACAAGCAAATGCTGAAGGATTTTGTCACCAGCAGGCTTGTCTTACAAGAGCTCCTGAAGGAATCACTAAATATGGAAAGGAAAAACTGGTACCAGCCACTGCAAAAACATACCAAAATGTAAAGACCATTGACACTATGAAGAAACTGCATCAAATAACGTGCAAAATAACCAGCTAGCATCACAATGAGAGGATCAAATTCACAAATAACAATATTAACTTTAAATGTAAATGGGCTAAATGCCCCAATTAAAAGACACAATGACAAATTGGATAAAGATTCAAGACCCATCAGTGTGCAGTTTTCAGGAGACTCTTCTCATGTGCAAAGACACACATCCGCTCAAAATAATGGGATGGAGGAATATTTACCAAGAAAATTGAAAGCAAAAGAAAAAAAAAAAAAAAGCAGAGGTTGCAATCCCAGTCTCTGATAAAACAAACTTTAAACCAACAAAGATCAAAAAAGACAAAGAAGGGCATTACATAATGGTAAAGGGATCGATGCAACAAGAAGCACTAACTATCCTAAATACATATGCACTGAACACAGAAGCACCCAGATTCATAAAGCAACTTCTTAGAGACCTACAAAAAGACTCAGACTCCCACACAATAATAGTGGGAGACTTTAACATCCCACTGTTAATACTAGATTGATCAATGAGACCGAAAATTAACAAGGATATTTAGGACTTGATCTCAGCTCTGGACCAAGCAGACCTAATCAACATCTACGGAACTCTCCACCCCAAATCAACAGAATATACATTCTTCTCAGCACCACATAGCACTTATTCTAAAATTGGCCACACAATTGGAAGTAAAAGACTCCTCGCCAAATGCAAAAGAACGAAAATCATAAAAAACAGTCTCTCAGACCACAGTGCAAATTGAAACTCAGGATTAAGAAACTCATTCAAAACCTTACAACTACATGGAAACTGACCAACCTGCTCCTGAATGACTATTGGGTAAATAACAAAATTGAGGTAGAAATAAATAACACTTTGAAACCAATGGGAACAAAGACACAACATACCAGAATATCTGGGACACAGCTAAAGCAGTGTGTAGAGGGAAATTTAAAGCACTAAATGCCCCCATGAGAAAGTGGGAAAGATCTAAAATCAACACCCTAACTTCACAATTAAAAAAACCAGAGAAGCAACAGCAAAAAAATTCAAACGCTAACAGAAGACAAGAAATAACTAAGATCAGAGCAGGACTGAAGGAGATAGAGACACGAAAAACCCTTAAAAAAATCAATGAATCCAGGAGCTGGTTTTTTGAGAAGATTAACAAAATAGACTGCTAGCCAGACTAAAAAAGAAGAAAAGAGAGTAGGATCAAATAGACACAATAAAAATGATAAAGGGGACATTACCACTGATCCCACAGAAATACAAACTACCTTAAGAGAATACTATAAACACCTCTATGCAAATAAACTAGAAAATCTAGAAGAAATGGGTAAATTCCTGGACACATACTCTCTCCCAAGACTAAGCCAGGAAGAAGTCGATTCCCTGAATACTACCAATAACAAGTTCTGAAATTGAGGCAATAATTAATAGCCTACAAACTAAAAAAAAAAAATAGCACAGAACCAGATGGATTCACAGCCAAACTCTACCAGAGGTAGAAAGAGGAACTGGTACCATTCCTTCAGAAACTATTCCAAACAATGGAAAAAAAGAGACTCTTCTCTAACTCATTTTATGAGGCCAGCATCATACTGATACCAAAACCTGGCAGAGACACAACACAGAAAGAAAATTTCAGGTCAATATCCCTGATGAACTTCGATGAAAAAATCCTCAATAAAATATTGGCAAACTGAATCCAGCAGCAAATCAAAAAGCTTATCCACCATGATCAAGTTGGCTTCATCCCTGGGATGCAAGGCTGGTTCCACATACAGAAATCAATAAACGTAATTCATCACATAAACAGAACCAATGACAAAAGCCACATGATTATTTCAATAGATGCAGAAAAGGCCTTTGATAAAATTCAACAGCCGATTCATGCTAAAAACTCTCAATAAACTAGGTACTGATGAAACGTATCTCAAAATAATAAGAGCTATTTATGAGAAACCCACAGCCAATATCATACTGAATGGGCAAAAGCTGAAAGCATTCCCTTTGACAACTGGCACAAGACAAGGATGCCCTTTCTCACCACTCCTATTCAACATAGTATTGGAAGTTCTGGCCAGGGCAATCAGGCAAAAGAAAGAAATAAAGGATATTCAAATAGGAAGAGGGGAAGTCAAATTATCTCTGTTTGCAGATGACATGATTGTATATTTAGAAAACCCCATTGTCTCAGCCCAAAAACTCCTTAAGCTGATAAGCAACTTCAAGCAAAGTCTCAGGGTACAAAATCAATGTGCAAAAATCACTAGCATTTCTATACACCAATAAGAAACAGAGAGACAAATCATGAGTGAACTCCCATTCACAACTGCTACCAACAGAATAAAAAACCTAGGAATACAACTTACAAGGGATGTGAAAGATATCTTCAAGGAGAATTACACCAATGCCAAGGAAATAAGAGACAACACAAACAAATGGAAAAACATTCCATGCTCATGGATAGGAAGAATCAATATCATGAAAATGGCCATACTGCCCAAAGTAATTTATAGATTCAATGCTAATCCCATCAAGCTACCATTGACTTTCTTCACAGAATTAGAAAAAACTATTTTAAATTTGATATGGAACCAAAAAAGAGCCCGTATAGCCAAGAAAATCTTAAGTAAAAAGAGAAAAGCTGGAGGCATCACTTTACCTGACTTTTAACTACACTACAAGGCTACAGTAACCAAAACAGCATGGCACTGGTACCAAAACAGAGATATAGACCAATGGAACAGAACAGAGTCCACAGAAATAATGCCACACATCTACAACCATCTGAGCTTTGACAAGCCTGATAAAAACAAGCAATGGGGAAAGGATTCCCCATTTAATAGATGGTGTTGGGAAAACTGGCTAGCCATATGCAGAAAACTGAAACAGGACCCCTTCCTTACACCTTATACAAAAATTAATTCAAGATGGATTAAAGACTTAAACATAAGACCTAAAACCATAAAAACCCTAGAAGAAAACCTAGGCAATACCATTCAGGACATAGGCATGGGCAAAGGCTTCATGACTAAAACACCAAAAGCAATTGTGACACAAGCCAAAATTGACAAATGGGATCTAATTAAACTAAAGAGCTTCTGCACAGAAAAAGAAACTATCATCAGAGTGACCAGGCAACATACAGAAGGGGAGAAAATTTTTACAATCTATCCATCTGACAAAGGGCTAATATCCAGAATCTACAAGGAACTTAAACAAATCTACAAGAAAAAAACAAACAACCCCATCAAAAACTGGGCAAAGGATATGAATAGATACTTCTCAAAAGAAGACATTTATGCAACCAAGAAACATACGAAGAAAATCTCATCATCACTGTTCATTAGAGAAATGCAAATCAAAACCACAATGAGATACCATCTCACACCACTCAGATTGGTGAACATTAAAAAGTCAGGAAACAACAGATGCTGGAGAGGATGTGGAGAAATAGGAACACTTTTACACTGGTGGTGGGAATGTAAATTAGTTCAACCGTTGTGGAAGACAGTGTGGTGATTCCTCAAGGATCTAGAACCAGAAATACCATTTGACCCAGCAATCCCATTACTGGGTGTATATATCCAAAGGATTATAAATCATTCACATGCACGTTTATTGCACCACTATTCACAACAGCAAAGACTTGGACCCAACCCAAATGCCCATCAGTGATAGAATGGATAAAGAAAATGTGGCACATATATACCATGGAATAGTATGCAGCCATAAAAAAGGATGAGTTCATGTCCTTTGTAGTGACATGGATGATGCTGAAAGCCATCATTCTCAGCAAACTAACACAGGAACAGAAAACCAAACACCGCATGTTCTCAGTCATAAGTGGGAGTTGAACAATGAGAACACATGGACACAGGGAGGAGAACATCACATGCCGGGGCCTGTTGGGGGTGGGGAGGGGAGGGAGTGGGGAGGGGAGGGACAGCATTAGGAGACATACCTAATGTAGGTGATGGGTTGATGGGTGCAGCAAACCACCATGGCACATTTATACCTATGTAACAAACCTGCACATTCTGCACATGTATCCCAGAACTTAAAGTACAATGAAAAAAAATTATCCTTCCAGTAATGGTTATGGCTTTACACTGAACCAATCAAATTCTCTTACAGAGCCTAAGCTGTGATTACTCAAATTTGAGGGAGCAATGACCAGGATCTTTTTTTCCTTTCTGAATATTCTTGAAGGATTTTGAAATAGAATTGTTCCTTGTGGAGAGGCAGATTCTTTGGTCTTATTAGCACTACACAATAAGTAAGTGATTCAGTGGATAGAAAGAAGAAATGTGTTTATCAACTAAAACTAGCCAAATCCAGAATGATTATGAAAAGATTCCAAAGTAGGTGCTGAAAGAGGTCTTCAAGGACTGAAACTGGTCAAGTCTGAAGGTTATTCCAGTGGAAAATGGTAGTACATTAGAAGGCCAGAAGTTGGGGACAATAGAAGTAGCTAAATTGGGCTGAACCCTAGACTTCTGTTCTGACCAAGGAAATGAATTAAGGAAGTGTGAATTCTGGGTTTCTACTACTGCCCTCTAGGAACCACTGGTCTTTGGGAATTGCCAGTAGAATTAAGCAGGGGTGCCTTCTTTCGTCCAGATGTGTAAATGTCCATGTAAAGGTTTCTTCTCTTATGCAGGAAGTTGCTAGTGTTAATTACACCTTTTATCTTCATGGTGTTATCTCGATTCCTTGCAGACACAGTGTCGTAAAATACAGTAAAAATGCAATACTAGAAAATTGAAATTAAAAAGACAAGCTCTGAGTTTTATTATTAGATATAACAAAATTACTTTATCAAATTGCTATAAAGTTTCTAAATCCTTCCTCTCAATGTCTGACTCATTGCAGACAGGTAACAGGTTGCACTTCGAGTGGTTTGCTTCATACTAGCTGTGCTTTTCAAACTTTATGAAATGCTCATCCAGGGTTCTTGTATAAGTGCAATTCTTACTTAGTGGGCTTGGGCAGGCCTGAGATTATTTCTGACAAGCTCCCAAGTGACACTGATGCTGCTGGTCTGTGGCCCACACTTCATAAACGCTTTGATTTTCACAGTAACACTGATGTGACACCAATGCTGCTGGTGTGTGGCCCATACTTCATAACTATTCATAAACTGTTTTGATGTTCACACTGATCTTTTGAGAATTTTTATTCCATTTTACTCATGCTTAAGTCAGATTTATTGATATCCCAGAGTAAATTAACCCATGTTAGTGTGCAGTTCTGCTGGCACACACATGCAGTTGTGTAACCACTACCACCAAAAGCAAGATGTAAAATAGCTCCATCACCCCCACAAGCCTTCTGATGCTCTTTTGTCATCAATTCCCTTCCCGCTAGTCACAACTGGTAACTACTGATTTGTTTTCTGTCCCTATAGTTTTGCCTTTTCCAGAATGTCATTGTTGACAGGTATCAGTAATTCATTCCTTTTTATTGCTAATTACTATCTCACTGTATGAATGCAACACAGGTTGTTTACCAGTTCACCCGTTAAAGAACATTTTGTTTCTGCGCTTGACAGTTATGAATAGAACTGCTATAAACCCTCAAGTAAAAGTTTTGGTGTGAAGATAATTTTCTCAGCAAAAACGCTGACAGGTAATTTTTCTAAGTATTACTTTTTTAAAAAAGTAAAATAGCCTGTAGCCCCAGCTACTCAGGAGGCTGAGGCAGGAGAATAGCTTGAACCCAGGAGGCGGAGGTTGCAGTGAGTTGAGATTGTGCCACTGCATTCCAGCCTGGGCGACAGAGCTAGACTGTCTCAAAGAAAAAAAAAAAAAAAAAAGAAATAAATAAAAAGTAAAATGAAAGCATGTAAGTGTAAGATGACTAGTTCAAGCAACCTCTCTTCAAGTACAGAGTATTCAGAGTAGAGATTAAAAGAGGTTTTCAAGGACAGAGAAAATTTGAAGTTTGAAGGCAGTTCCAAAGGAAGGCAATGATTCTTAATAAGACTGGAAGTTGGAAGTAATATAAAAAGATAAATCAGTTTCAAGATGATTTTACTAAGCAGGCAGCCCTTAATTTACAAATTCTAGATTCATACATATCTTAAACATACAAAATGATATGAGGAGAGGTAAGTTCAGGGTCTGAGTTCCTGGCTGTTGTTGGAACTGATTTCTGTGTAGTGATTCAGAAGATGTGAGACACCCTAATTTACAAGTACAGAGGTATCTTCTTTTCTGCAAACAGCAGTACAACAATAGTTCCTCTTACGCAGCTGTGAATGAACAGGATTATTACAATTAATGATATCTCATTTGATTGGCGCCTTAGAGAATTAAGACCTTTCACACCTAATATACAACTTTGTTGTGAAGGCAGATATTTATATTCTCATTTTACTGATGAGAGACTACCCGGAGACGCTATGTCACACCTGAAGGATTAGGTACTTTCTCTGTTAAGTCCAATGTTCCTTCCGTTATTCCATGCTAGGCAGTAATAAGTTCTGTCTTGCCTGAGTAATAAGCTCCAAACCTCGGAACTGCACCCATCTTGAGAAGGAGGAGGGCGCTGTGGTTTTTTCTGATAAGTGCAGCTGGCAGACACTCTATACGCTTAATCACGGGCAAATCCTAGCTAAGCTGCCTACCAAACTAGTCCTTCTTTTCCCCGTTGCCCACGCAGATGGCTGTTGATCTTTTCTGCAACAAATCCAGGAGTTTCTCCTTTTTGTTTTATAATTGCTCCAATAGATGCTTTAGGATTTAACTCTCTGCTTTTTAAAGCAGAATCGCCATCCCAGGTGTGCAACCACGAAAAAATTAGACATCCGTGAGAGACAATGCCCTCCATGGCCCAGTTTCCAGGCAGAGAGAAGCAGCTCTGGGCTGACCGCCAAGGCTCCGGCCCGAGAGGGTCTTTAAGTGGAGTAACCAGTCTTCAAGACCCCGCTCCCAAGCCACCGACGCGCTGACGCTGCAGCCCTGGACCTGCTGGGGGCCTCTTCCTCGGACCCGCATGCTGACAGCGGGACTGGCAACTGGGCAGAGGTCGACCCCGGGTCCGCACAGCACCTCCCGAGACCCAGCTCCCAGCTCCCTCACTTCCGGCTCTCTGGAGGCGGGCCCGGCCAGTGCCGCCGAGGCCAGCGCGGCGAGCTCCTCCCCAGCAGCGGCGGGACGGCCACACCCTGCGCTCCGCGCGGGCTCGGGTGGGGTCTCCGCTCCTGCGCCCTGCGCCCTGCGCGCCGCAGCCGCAACCCCGACGGCGCCCCAAACGCTGTTGCGCCGCGCGCCCCGCCCAGCCCGGCCTCGCGCTGGTCCCGGTCTCGCCCCGCAGCCCTCGATCTCCCGTGACTTCCTCGGCCAGGCCGCCTGCGCCTCTGGGACCATGTTGCGCTGGCTGCGGGACTTCGTGCTGCCCACCGCGGCCTGCCAGGACGCGGAGCAGCCGACGCGCTACGAGACCCTCTTCCAGGCACTGGACCGCAATGGGGACGGAGTGGTGGACATCGGCGAGCTGCAGGAGGGGCTCAGGAACCTGGGCATCCCTCTGGGCCAGGACGCCGAGGAGGTGGGTCGCCGCCGGGGCGCCGCCTGAGCGTAGGGAGGGCTGCGGGCGCTGGGGACACTGCGAGGACCGAGGAGGGCGGCGGCTTGAGGCGTTGCCAGGAGAGGAAGGAGGAACTGTGGCGCCCAGCGCTCCGGTGGCTTCAGAAACTCGGGCGTGGGGCCGCGACCGGCGACCCCGGTAACAGAAGTGGGTCATAATACGAAAGTCTACTGGTATTTGTCCAGATAAAATGAGTGTTGTGGACACTCTGGCCCACGGGCACTGTTAAATTTTTAAGACACTTTTGTCCTGAATCCATCCCAGGTTCTTTGTTTTCTGTTTTAATACCTTGCAGACATGTAATCCGTTTTAGCTGTCAGACTTCAGTGGGTCCCAAGTTTTGTATAAAGGCGCACACATTCGATCTCTTTCGAAGCTGCTTTGTTACAGCAGCTATGTGTATTGTCTACTGTTTGAAAACTGTTTGAAAACCAATCGCGTGTTTCCCCCACTTCCTGTTGAGAAGGAATGGCGGCATTCCATTGTTTAAGACATTCCTAGGTTAATGCCCTAGGTACATAAATTGATCTGAAGGGTTGACTTGACCTGCGACTGAGCAATTTCATTTTCTCTGAGTCATCTTAACTGTGCCCCTGAACTTCTGCCCCTTTAGTAGGGTGGAGATATGTGGAACTTCTCCAACCCTGTTGAAGCGTTCCCTGACACTGGCATTCTCTTATCCAAAGAGGGAAAGTGATTAGGTTACTATGAGGGCCAACAACTGTTATATAGTTATATTTCACTTCTCTTTTAATGTCTTTGGTAGTTATAGGCCTCTTCAGTTTACTGTTTCTTCTAGAGTCAGATTTAGTAAGTTACAATTTTTTTTGAAACTGCCTGTTCTGTCCAAGGTTCATAATACTCACCGATGATTTTATAACACTTCTGACTGAATCTGTAGGTAGGTTCTCTATTTCATTCCTCATATCTATCCTTTTCTCCCCTTCAATCTTGCCAAAGTTTTGTGTATTTTATTCATACTTTGAAGGAACCAACTTTTGGTACTTTGTGCTGATTGTCCCAGAAATGGCCCAGTTGGAGTTCCCCACCATGTCCAATCATTGGCTGGAAGCAGCCCAGGAAAGGGACGACCTTGCTGCAGTGCATCAGCAGATGCCAGGGTTAGAGGCTAGAGAGTGGAAGTCAACTGTGTTCCTCACAGTAGGTGCCTTTGAAGGGAGATCTCAGTGGTACAACTCCATGGTCCCTACAATATACAAAAGCTCTTTGGAGTGCTCAATGATTTTTAAGATTGTAAAGGGATCCTGAGATCAAAAAGCTTGAGAATTGCTGCTGTATCACCATTTTTACGTAACTGCATCATATTCTGTTATATGTTTGTGTCATAGTATATGTTACCAATTCTTTTTAAATCACCTTTTACTTTATTGATAGTTTAAAAACGATTGTAAGTGAAATTGCAATGGATGTCCTTTGTATTCATTTTCTCATTCTGGTCCAGTTACTTTCGTAAGATAAATTTTGAGGAGTGGACATTGCTGAGTCTGAAGGTAACACACATTTTAAACTGGGATACGTATTGCCTTTCGGAAACCTTAGACCCATTTTCACTCTTTTGACTGACAGTGCTTGCTTCTCCACATCCTCGCTCATTCAGGGTATCAGTCTTTGTAAAGTCTCCTATTCTGCAGGTGAAATTCCTTTTCATTTCCTGTCTTAGTCCATTTAGTGTTGCTATAGTGGAATATCTGAGACAGGGTAATTTATAAAGAAAAGACATTTATTTAGCTCACAGTTCCGCAGGCTGGGAAGTTTAAGAAGCGTGGTGCTGGCATCTGCTGGACTCCTGGGGAGGGCTTTCCTGCTGTGTCACAACATGGTGGAAAGTCAAAGTGGAAGTGGACATGTGTGAAGAAGCAAAATCCGAGGGGTGTCCTGGCTTTATAGCAACCCAGCCTCGAGGGAACTGATCCATTACTGAGGGAACTAATTCAGTCTCATGAGAGAGAGAACTCACTCACTACTGCAAGAATGACACCAAGCCATTCATGAGGGATCTGCCTCCGTAACCCTGACACCTCCTGCTAGGTCCCTCCTCCCAACACGGCCACATCAGGGATCAGACTTCAACATGAGTTTTTGTGGGGACAAACAAAACGTAGCACTTGCTTTGCCTTTTGGTTCTATTCACATCCTCCACAGGATTGCATTATGCCTACCCATTTGGTGAGGGCAGTCTTCTTTAATTGGTTTACTGATTCAAATGCTACCCTCCTCCAGAGACATCCTCACAGACACACCCAGAAATCATGTTTTACCAGTTATCTGGGCATCCCTTAGTCCAGACGAGTTGATACATAAAATTAACCATCACACATGGGATAGAATTAGGATTACACAGTCAACCTTTATGGGAGAAAATTTCAGAGGCATGTCAGGGGTTTATGTAATGTCAAGGAGTGAGGACATTGGCTACTTGAGCATAGAAATGAGAACTGTGGGGTGACTCTTCGGTGGAAAGTTTCAAGGTAGTAGTTTGTATCTAAGCCAAATACTCAGCTTGAAGCAAAATCTCTATAAATTTTCATCTGATTTGATCTCATCTCCGTGTTTCCAAGCATTTGTAATGAATTGAGCATTTAGAAGAGAACAAATTTCTGTTTAAGTTTCTTTAGATTTTAGATGGAAAGAATGTAGAAATAAGAGTAGAATGTAGAAATAGGTATAAGGAATATAATAGCTAACCATTACTAAGTGTTCCAGAATTATCCAGGGAAGAGAAAAGAATTCAAGGCAAGTCCTGAGACAAAATTAAGAACCAATTGGAAGTGAAAGCGCTACATTTTTTTTTCTGGTATGACCTTTCTTTTCTGTATGTTCCAAATCTCCTCACTATGAAATTAGTGAAAAATTAAAGTTAAAAATTAGAGAAAATTCACATTAAGTTCTCCTAGGACTCAGTAGTATAAGGGTATAGACTGAGAGTAGAATGTAGTGTGAGAACAAGGAGATACAGTATTTAACCATTACTAATTCTCTTATACTTGTCTAGTAATCCTATTTCCTTTTAAAAGTCTTCAGTTATTTTCTCTTTACGCACCTCCTTCTCCCTCTTGTCTTCCTCCTTCTACCCCCATCTTCTTTCTTCCTGTGGAGCCTTCATGAATGGGATTAGTGCTTGTATAAAAGTGACCTGGAAGACCTTCCTTGCCCCTTCCACCATGTGAGGACACAGTGAGAAAACAGTGGTCCATGGAACCGGAAAGTGGGTCCTCACTAGACAGTAAATCTCCTAGCACTTCGATCTAGGACTTCCAGTGTCTGGAACTGCAAGAAATCAATGCTTATTTTTTAAGTAAGCCAATAGTATTTTTGTCATAGCAGCCCAGTTGGACTAGGACAATTATCAAGAGCAAGAAGGGAAGCAGCAAGCTACAAGAGAGTTCCGTCCTTGGTGTAAATTGACCGTGTAATCCTTGTCAAGTTTGAGCCTTACTGGAGCTTTACTTTCTTATTCTTAAAATGCAGATATCTTGCCTGCATCCTGGACAGAGCTTTTAACAAGGTCATATGTTGCAGAATATGAAAGTTCATGTTAAAAAACCCTTTAAAATGTGGTATCCCATTTACTAGCTGGTGAACTTCTTGAGGAACCTCTGTGCCCATGGGTATGAAGTGTATGCTGAATGATCACCCAATGTTAGAGGAGTGGGTGGACTGGTAACCTGATTTAAGGGCCATTCTAACTCTTACATTCTATGATTTTTTTAATTCTGTCTTTAAGTTTTTACATTTACAATCACAGAAAAAATAGTCACATAGAAGAATAGTAGCTTAGCAAATGTTTATTGCATTGAGTGGAATCAGGATTTCACTCCATTAAGTAATTCCTCTGTTAACAAAGAGGGTTCATTTCATTTTTATTTCATTAATATTGCTTTTTTTTTTTTTTTCTGGAGACAGAATCTTGCTCTATCACCAAGGCTGGAGTGCAGTGGTGCGATCTCGGCTCACTGCAGCCTCTGCTTCCTGGATTCAAGCGATTCTTGTGCCTCAGCCTCCCAAGCAGCTGAGATTACAGGCACATGCCACCACACCTGGTTAACTTTTGTATTTTCTAGTAGAGATGGGATTTTGCCATTTTGGTCAGGCTGGTCTTGAATTCCTGGCCTCTAGTGATCTGCCTGCCTCTGCCTCTGAAAGTGCTAAGATTACAGGCATGAGCTACCATGGCCAGCCCATTTCCTTAATATTTTAATTGTCAGACATGTTATGGTTTCTGGCACAATATTAAGAAGACATGATATGAAATCACAGGGTGAATTTTAGGGCATCACAACAGAAAGATTATGGTATAAGAAAAACAATGGAATTCCAACTACATTTCTGTCAAATGTTCTAAAATATATAAAATCTGTATCTTTTGTGTTCTCTCCTGATTTATATTCTAAATTTGATGTTATCCTTCTCTGCAGAAATAAAGTGTCTGAAAGAATGAAAAAAATGGAAGAATTCTTTAGTAAGGTATAAAATACCCTTTCTATCTTTGTAGCATTCTAAGCCTTTTGTCACCTTTCCAAACTCCCAACATGCCATATTCCCTGACTAGGCCACAGCCATGTACATTGATCCCTTTATTTTCTTCTCTCTGCCTGAGATTTCTCTCATTCCCCCTTCTCTGCCTGGTATATGATTGCCCATTGTTTAAGGCCCCAACTCACCTTTATAATCTTCCTAGCCCACTTTCTTTATCGGTATTCCAGAAAAAACAAAAGAAGCTTCCACAAGACAACATTCTGTAATACACTGCTTAACTTCTTTTGACCCTGCTGAGTTCAAAAATCTTATCTTTTTAAGGATTGAATGGAGTCCACCAAGGTATCTATATTTGACAGGATTTATGAAAACAAAAGGATTTGTTGAGAAAGTTTGAAGCCTAACTCTGAAACGTGGATCATAGTGTTTACTACACATTAACTGTTTTAGTGGATGTAATAGTTATTATTATAGGCTGTGGAATCAGAACAGGGTTCAAATGTTTTCACCGCTTGCTAGACTGTGGCCTTGGGCATGTTATTTAATGCCTGGAGGCCTCAAATGTTAACTAGGAATGGTAAGACCTACCCAGTAACTTAGCATAAATAGTAAATTCATTCATTTAATGTTTTCAAACAGTGCCAGACATTGTTTAATGAACTGGGGATATAGTGGTGAACAACACTGACAGCGTTCTTCATTGTATTCTCAAAACCCTCCCTATAGTAAGTAGGTCTGTGTGTGTGTGTAGGTGCATGGGGAATAAAAAATAATAAGCAAATAATGAACAGGGTAATTTCAAAAAGCAGAAAGAGCTATTCAACAAAACTACCTGCCTTTTATTAGATGAAACTCTCAACTCTATGGTTTGTTCTCTCCTGTCAATTCTGTTAAATGCTGTCAGCCTGTTTTCCTTATCACCCTGGCCACGACTTCTGTCTTTTCTGCTTGGTCCTGTAGACTCTAACCCAAGGCTCATTCTCTGCCTGGCTATCTGCCTTCTGTGGCTCTTTGCCACTACCTACATTTTCTGTGTTGCACAGGGAAGGACCATTCCCTGTGGACCATAAAATTCTCTTTTTGAAAGAATTCATTCTTGATTGGGCCACAGCACATCTTGTGAAACAGCATTAGACATTTGCCACTGCTCAGCAGCTCTGGGGGAAAATGTTTACTGAGAAGCGTACAGTAGTTTTTTTGACTAACCATGGTGCAACCTCCTCCCAGAGGGAAACCTATGAGTATTTCAAGGACATGTGATGGTCTGTTTTTGTCCCCAGTATCTGACATGATGGGTAGTGTAGAGCAAGAGCTTACAGATAATGGCTAAATTAAATTTTCTTTTTGAATTTTAATATTCAACTTTTTAGGGTACCCAATCTCCATATTTAGGAAAATAAATTACATAAAAAGTGGAGAGTTTTTATTGTGAAACTGCACCTCCATATTCCCAGTGGTGCAGGATGAGGGAGCACAGGTGTTGGTCTGGGGAAGCCAGGGCCCTCTGTGGTTCTGGAGGGTGAGGATTAAGAGGAAGCCTTAGATAGTATTTATGAGTATCTGCTGACTTCTCTCTGGGACCCAAGATCACTGAACTTTTGCCTATTTTGAGATCATCTTTCCAATCCAGCCACTAACAGCTGAAGGATAGGCTTGCCCTGGAGCCATTGTAGTGGTTGGATGAAGATAAAAGATAAAAAACTGTGAGGGGAGGTGTCACAGAAGAAAGGGCCCATGTGGGCAGATTTTCATTCAATTCCTAGTCTTTATTACAGCAATTCTCCAGTGCTGCAACCTTAGAAAAGGATTCCTACAACACAATGTAGGTACCCATCAGCAGCAGATTGGATAAAGAAAATGTGGTACATACACACCATGGAATACTATGCAGCCATAAAAAAGGAGCAAAATCATGTCCTTTGCAGCAATATGAATGCAGCTGGAAGCCAATAACTTAAACGAATTATTGTAGAAACAGAAAAACAAATACTGTGTTCTCATTTACAGGGGGAGCTAAACCTTGGGTAAATGGGGCATAAAGATGGGAACAATAGACACTAGGGACTCCAAAAGGGGGGAGGGAGGGAGGAGGGCAAGGGCTGGAAAGCTTCCTACTGGGTACTTTGTTCACAACCTGGGTGATGGCACGATTAGGAGCTCAAACCCCAGTATCACACAGTATACCCTTGTAACAAGCTGATGGTGTAACCCCTGAATCTACAATAAAATTATTTTATTTTAAAAAATCATTATAAGGATTTTTAAAAAGAAGGATTCCTAGACAGGTGCAGCCAAACAATTTTTTTTAAATGTTGGCAGGCCGCCACCGCCAGTCACTTATGCTGCAATAGCCCATGTCCCAACATTCCCAACCTACTTCTCTCCAAAAGAGAAGCTATACTTTCAGATGGCCCTGTGCTGGGTTCTCCCTGGAAGTTTCTGGGGAAAGGGGCTTGAGTTGCCCCGACTGGACTCTTCCTGGAGTGGGAGCCGGGGCTTCTGATCAGACGTGAGTGAGGCAGGAACTCCGCGGTCTCCCAGCGCAGCCCAGAGTGCGGTCCCACGCAGGTCCCGGGTCCTGCGCGCTCGCGCCTTTGCGCTGAAGCCGTTAGGATGAGCCCTCTCCTTCCAGAGCTTTAACCGATGAAGGTGCATTGTGTTTGGCGCCCCTGAGGAGGATGCTGTCTTAGGCCTCTTCCCACTGGACGTGTGTGGTGGGCAGAGATCCCGTTCGTCGGTCGCACTTCCACCCCGCTGGGGCTCACTCAGGCCGCGGAGCTGCGAGGGAGACATCCTCGATGGACTCCCTCTACGGAGATCTCTTTTGGTACCTGGACTATAACAAGGATGGGACCTTGGACATTTTTGAGCTTCAGGAAGGCCTGGAGGATGTAGGGGCCATTCAATCTCTAGAGGAAGCGAAGGTGGGTCTCACTGGGGCTGTAATCAGAGAGACGTTGGGGCTGGGAGCCCTGGAGAGGCATTGGGCAGAGAGGGCAAAATTTACATGTTGTCAAGCTTGACCTGGGCCCACTGCAGTGTTCAGGTCGTTGACCAGCGTTACCGTTTATTAAGAATAACAACACAGCTAACACATTTCTCAAGTATTTTTCTCCGTTTTCTCCTTGGCTGTAGTAAAATCTCCAACTTCAGATTGCTCTCAAGATGTTGGCTACATACAGCCTTGTCTTAGGAGTCACCTTGTTCAATGTGCTCACCTGTCATTAGTCACCCAGAGGGGCGTCTAGGCTAAAGATGCGCCCTCCCCAGTTCAGAGAACTGGAATAATCACTCTACGTGTATTTGGGAGTGGGGTGGTGATTGGAAATTTTCTGATGTTATGTTTCGGTTTCTGTTCCTGGAAGGGGGCAGTGGAAGTGGCTTTTACTCTCGGGTTTCACTAGTGCTGAGGTTTCCTCATAATATGCCTTAATTGATAGACCCTAGTTATCAGTACCGAGCTTAGGCTAACCCTTCTCTTCCCCAGAAGGCTAACCTACAGGCTCCTTCTCAGCATGTTGTGCTTCGTACATACTCCTATTGCAGTATTTCCAAGTCATTTTTCATTTGGAATTTATTATTGTATATAATAATTACTTTATAAGTATATTTGCTCTTTGGATGTTTGACCCGGTAGACTGGGAGATCATGAGCATGTGGACTATTGAGTTTATTTTGGATAATTGGTACTTCGTGCCCAAAAAACTGTCAGTTGAGTTCTGTCATGTTGAAATTTAGTAAAACTCTTTCTATTAGCCATGTGAACTTTGGGAATATTGAAGCATCCATTCAGTCATGGGTCAGTTCTAGTTTGAGCACATTCTATATTCCAAGCCCCATACCCTGGTATCCTCATCTGTTATATCAGAGGCCTGGACTGTGTACTTTCTGTGGACCAATTCAGTCCAAAATGTTATTTCTGCAAAGCTTATCTGGATTTTTAATTCCTAGAAAAAAGCAGTGTTTCTCCTTTTAAAGTTAAGTGTTCTTGTTCAGGTGCAGTGGCTCATGCCTGTAATTCCAGCACTTTGGGAGGCCAAGGCAGGTGGATCACTTGGGGTCAGGAGTTCAAGACCAGCCTGGCCAATATGGTAAAACCCCATCTCTACTAAAAATGCAAAAATTAACCGGGTGTGGTGGTGGGTGTGTGTAGTCCCAGGAGGCTGAGGCAGGAGAATCACTTGAGCCTGGGAGGCAGAGGTTGCAGCAAGCTGAGATTGCATCACTGCACTCCAACCTGGGTGACAGAGTGAGACTCCATCTCAAAAAGAAAAAAAAAAAGTTAAGTGTTCTTCATATTTGTTTAAAGACACTCTTATATTTAGATTTGCAAGTGTAAGTTGTATTTGTTTATTTGATACAAACTAGCCTTTCATAAGAAATTCTGGGTTAGCTATCAAGTCGAATCTTTTGAAACACATTTCTTCCTTATTGAAACAAAAGGTTTGTAGAGCTGTCTTGCATTTTTGGCAAGGACGCTTTGTGTACCTAGTGGTGACTGAGGAGGGTTCACATGTCAAAACCCAAGGGAGGGGTGTCCCCAGAGAATTCTGCACCAACCACACAGAACATTCTGTTTCAGAGGAGCACCATTGTGACTTTTCCTCAAGTGGCAGTCACATCGTTAGGAGGTTTTGATGTGAGGTCTCTTCCCACACGTCTCCACCTCCCCAGTAGGAAAATTTGTTTATATAGACAAAACTCAACTGATTAAAAAAAAAAAAAAGAAATGATACTTACATTGTCGTGTTAAGATACAAAAGCAATAACTTTTTATTGTGAAAATAGTCTGTTTTTGAACAATATATTGTTTTGTTTTTTCCTGTGAAAGTTGAGAAACTAAATATACGAAGAGATAATGGTCAGACCATAAATAAAAATAGAACTTTGACTCAAAATTTACAGCAGTCTGCCCAGAAAACCAGCCCTTTATCTAAAATAAACAGACCAGGAAACCAGCCTGTTATGTCAGACTTATAGGAAGTCAGGTTGCTATCTCTAGAGACAATACACAAAGCTATGCAATAACTGCTGTAACAGCCCCAAATGGTCAGAATTTGATTAATAACCGACAGCCCCCCTAATTTTTTTCTTCACTTCCAACTTAGGACGAACCAGAGAAAGCTAAATATGCACCACCTACTAATCAAATAGGGTGCCGCGTTTCTAATGAACCCTCCTACAGCTTCCCCAGGCCAGCAGCCCCCAATCAGGAAACGCCTGAAGCCTTCCCTTTTTCTCACTGTAAAGCTTTCCCACTCCTCTGCCTGGCTTTGAGTCTCTGTCAATACACAAGTGAGGGTGTCTGACTCCCTTGCTATAGCAAACTCGGGCCAAGTAGATTTTACTTTTCTCATTTGATTGGTCTTTTATTTCTAGAAGGAACATACAAGAAAATTTAAAGGGGAATCCATTCCTAATCTTTCATATTATAGTAGTCCCCTTTTATCTGCAGGGCATATTTTCCAAGACCCCCACTGAATACCTGAAACTGTGGGTAATATTGAACCCTATATATACTCTCTCTATATATACATATATATATATATTTTTTAATTTTTTTTTACTTTATCTTTAATTAGCTTTAGCTCTTTTTTTTTTTTTTGAGATGGAGTCTCACTCTGTCACCCAGGCTGAGTGCAGGGGTGCAGTCTTGGTTCACTGCAACCTCTGTCTACCGGGTTCAAGCAATTCTTGTGCCTCAACCTCCGGAGTAGCTGGGACTACAGGCGTGTGCCACCACTCCTGGCTAATTGTTTTAAATTTTAGTAGAAACGGGATTTCACCAAGTTGGCCAGACTGGTCTCGTACTTCTGACCTCAAGTGATCCGCCCACCTTGGCCTCCCAAACTGCTGGGATTACAGGCGTGAGCCACCATGCGCCCAGCCATAGACTATATATTTTTGATCTGATAACTGGTTCAGCTACTAAGTGACTAACAGGCAAGTAGCATCTATAGTGTGGATATGCTGGACAAAAGGACATTCACCTCCTGGGCAGGATGGCACAGAATGTTGAGAGATTTTATCATGCTACTCAGAATGGTGTGCAATTTAAAACTTATGAGTTGTTTGTTTCTGGAGTTTTCCATTTAATAGTTCAGACCATGATTGACCGCAGGTAACTGAAACTGTGGAGAGTGAAACTGTGGATAAGGGAGGACTATTGTATTGTTAAGTCAGACTCATTAGGCAATCATAACTCTTGATTTGCCATCAGAAATGCTGCAGAAATATGGGTTAAAAAAAACTGTTCAAAAATAGGGTCAGGGATGTCCTTTAACTTGTTACTTCCAAAATGTTAGTGAAAACTGTGGCCCCAAAGAGTGAAAGGAACAAATGACTAAGAGAAAATCTTGTTTTCAGGATGACAGATTAAAAAAGAAGCAACTTGCTGAAACACTGAAAATCTCTCCACTTGTAAGATAACACAAAACTGGCTAAAACTGGTTGGAATGAATATGGCCAACTCAAGTCTGCACAGAACTAACTTGGTGATGTTACAGCCCAAATTTCCACCACATATTTTATACTAACTCCCCCCGGATTTTCACACATGATCTGTGAGGTAGCATGAAGAGGTAACTATGCATGCCTAAGGACTTGGGAGACCTCCCCATTTCCTTCCACCAATCACCCACTAATCCCAGAATCCGCCCCCAAACCTTTTCTAATAACTACCTTAAAGCCAGCATAGGGAGACAGATTTGAGCTGGACTCCTGTCTTCTTGTGGGTCACCTTGCAATAAAAAGCTTTTCTTTTCTCAACACCTGGTATTATAGTATTGACTTCTAGTTCATCGGGCAGCAAGCCCCTTTTGGTCGGTGACTATTCTTGTTCGCTGATATTTCCATTGGCCAAAATATAAACCTCTTAGATGAAACTTCAGTACGTAAATGGCGCCACAGAATGCTGTGACATTTTTCTCTTGGATTATAGCAGGTTACTTTACTGAATACCGTAGGCAGTTATAACACACTAAGTATTTGTGTATCTAAACATAGAAAAGATACAGTAAAAATATGGTAATTTTTTTCAACTTTTAGTTGAGATTTGGAGGGTATGTGCACATTTGTTACAAGGGTATATTGCATGATGCTGAGGTTTGGGGTACAATTGAACCCTGTCACCCAGGTAGTGAGCATAGTACCCAATCGATAATTTTTCAACCCTTGTCCATTCCCTCCCCGTTCTTGTAGTCCCCAGTTTCTGCTTTTCCCATCTTTATATCCGTGTGCACCCCATGTTTTGCTCCCATGTGTATGTGAGAACTTGTGGTGTTTGGTTTTCTATTTCTGCGTTGATTCGCTTAGGATAATGGCCTTCAGCTGCATCCATGTTGCTGCAGAGGACGTGATTTTATTCTTCTTTATGGCTGTGTAGTATTCCATGGTGAAAATATAGTACTATAACCTTACTAAATCACTGTCATATATATGGTCTATCATTGACTGAAATGTATACAGTGCATGAATATATATATATATATATATATATATCTATCTATAATGTCTTATCCATTTCGTGTATTATGAGATTTGATTTGCTAATATTTTATACAGGAGTTTTGCATCTTTTTCACTAGTTGACATTGCTTGTAATTTTCCTTTTTTTGTGATGTCCCTGTTAGGTTTTAGAATCAAGTGTATACCCGCCTCATAAAATGGGTTGGAAAATGTTCCCACCCTTTCTGTTCTCTGGAAAATTGGTGTTTTTTTCTTAAAGTTTGGTAGACATTATTGTTAAAACCATGGGGTCCTCGATTTTTCTTCATGGAAATGTTTTCAAATTACACTTTAAATTTCTTTAAAATCTGAGTATAGGGCTATCAGACTTTCTGCTGTCTTATGTCAGTTTTTAATAAGTTGTTTTTGTAGGCGTTTGTTATCTCACTTTCATATTTTTGATATAAAGCTTTTCATAATATCATTAATGTCTATAGTGTCTAGTAGTTTCCATCTTTACTTTCTGACATTGGTTATTTGCCAGTTTTAGGAGTTTATCAATTTTATTAGTCTTTTCAAAGAACCATCTTTTGGCTTTGTTAATCCTCCCAATGGTGTGTTTTCTTTCTCATTACTTTTTGCTCTTTATTTCCTTCAACTTCTTTTTTGCTTAATTTTAAAATAATTTCTTGAGATTGAGATAAGCCTCAATGATGGGTCACCGATTTCCAGTCTTTCTTCTTTTCTAATTATGCATTTTAAACCAGAAATCTTTCTCTAAGTGTAGCTTTAGTTGCAGCTCACAAGTTTCAGATCTGTCTCTCAGTCTGGAGGTTGGAGATCTGACCATGACCATGAAACCATCCAGTCACAATGTGGCATTATTTTTTTAATTTTTTTTTTTTTTTTTGAGATAGAGTTTCACTCTTATTGCCTAGGCTGGTGTGCAATGGTGCGATCTCGGCTCACAGCAACCTCCACCTCCCAGGTTCAAGCGATTCTTTTGCCTCAGCCTCCCAAGTAGCTGGGATTACAGGCATGCGCCACCATGCCCAACTAATTTTGTATTTTTAGTAGAGATGGGGGTTCTCCATGTTGGTCAGGTTGGTCTTGAACTCCCGACCTCAGGTGATCCGCCCACCTCAGCCTCCCAAAGTGCTGGGATTATAGGAATGAGCCACTGTGCCCGGCCCAACTTGGCATTATTTACCCAGAAGAGCATGACCATGAGAACAGTAGAATTTGTAAGCTTTGAGTGGGTGACTATGAGTGTCATAATAGGTAGATAGGTTATATTTTGGGTGGTGGTAGGAGAGGGCTTACAGTTTGCTATGACAGCTTTTTATATGGATCATCCTTAGTAAAAGATTATTTAATTTTTGAAATCAAAGGGGAAAACACTAGTTTAGGCTTTCTTCTTTCTTTCTTTTTTAGAGACAGGGTCTTGCTCTGTCACCAGGTTAGAATGCAGTGGTGCAATATTGCTCACTGTAACCTCAAATTCCTGGGCTCAAGTGATCCTCCTACCTCAGCCTCCAAGTAGCTAGTATTTACAGGCATGCACCAACACATCTGGCTAATTTTAAAAATTTTTTATGGAGATGAGGTCTCACTATGTTGTCCAGTCTGGTCTTGAATCCTGACCTCAAGTGATCCTCCCCCATCAGCCTCCCAAAGTGCTGCAATATTTTAAATCCTGTGGTAGGTCAAGTGGTTGTCTTCTATCTTGGGGTTTATAAAGTACATGTCAAGAAATTTAGGGTATGGTTAGATTAGCTTTAAAAATGTCATGTTTTATAAAAATCAATGCATCATTTTTCTGATTGAAAATTTAACACAAGACTCAGAATCTTTTTGCAGTAGTGGAATTACTTTTATTATAGATCTTTGCGATAATGAATGATGATACATCTGGCCAAAAATAGGTACTATAGTCTTTTAGGAAAACAGCTAATCTGCTTGAAATATGTGTAGAAATAATTTAGTGCATCAGCCCATATTGGCAATAACTTCTCTCTAATTTTTTTTTATAGAAAATTTTTACTACTGGAGATGTCAACAAAGATGGGAAGCTGGATTTTGAAGAATTTATGAAGTACCTTAAAGACCATGAGAAGAAAATGAAATTGGCATTTAAGAGTTTAGACAAAAATAATGATGGTGTGTCTTTCTTTTGTATTTATCACCAGCTATGAAGAAGCATTTATCATGCTTTCAAGAGTCTAAAAGGATGCTTATTTAATCTCTCTGGTTTTAGATGATAATTATTATTTGTGTTAATACTTTTTTTTAGTAATGTGATTTTTATGTAGAGTTTATATTATTTAGTGAAGAAAACTTATAGATAGCTTTTCTTTTTCATTACTTTGAAATGTAATGAATTACATTTCTGAATTAAAAACTGTGGGCAGGGCCTGTTGTAAATGTTAACTATGGAACATTATGCTGATTTGAGTTAAACCTGTAGGTTAAAAATAATAATTATATTTTCTTGTCCTCTGGGTAAAATGAGATTTCTTTTTATTTGTATAGAAGAATGACAGTTGTGTCATCTAAAATTTAAAAAACTTTCAGATTATCTTGCATCTGTTAGTTTTTTTGGAAGAATTAATTTAGAGAAGATATCTCTGATCCTGGAAATTAGGGAAAAATAGCATATAAACGTTTAAGTGTGTACCTTCTGGTTAAGATTATGACTTCTATATTTCGATTAATAGGTTGGAGTTTGTCTTAATCTGTTTTCTGTTGCTGTAATGGAGTACCACAGACTGGGTAATTTATGAAGAAATGAAATTTATTTCTTATAGTTCTGGAGGCTGGGAAGTTCAAAGTTGAGCCGAATCTGGTGAGGGCCTCTTACTATGTCATAACATGCTAGCAGGCATCACAGAGCAAATGCACTACCTCAGATCTCTCTTCCTCTTCTTAAAAAGCCACTAGTCCCATCATGGGGGCCCTACTCTGAAGACCTTATCTAATTCTAATTGGAAATAGGGTCTTGAAGCCCTCATCACTAGAGGTAACCTTTAACAGGAAGAGAGAATTTATAAAAATTATAATGCAGCACCAAATCCCTCCCTACTTGTGAATAGTCAAGGTCATTTCATTTACAGACTTGTTATTAAAGAAACAGGTTAAACAAATAGATTGAGAGGAAATGTGGTTCATGTCTGAGATCAGCAAACTTTTTTGTCCAGAAGTCCAGATAATAAATATTTTAGCTTTGTGGGTCATGTGGTCTCAGTTGTAGCTACTTGTCTCTGCTGCTGTACCTCAAAAGCAGCCATGGATAATATGTAAATGAATGGGGATGACTGATTTCCAATAAAACTTTATTTACAAAGATAGTTAATACACCTTATTTGGCTTGAGGGTTATAGTTTGCCATCCCCTGATTTACAATGAATATTAAAGTTTAATTCAAAGCAAGTTCCTTCAAACAAACAAACTAAACTCTAGATGATTTTGAAGATTATTCACATCTGTGACTCTCAGCCAGGAAGAGCTGAGTTTGGGTTGGAAAGTAGTACTATTGGAACATTTGTTGCCCATAAGCCTTACAATATATGCCCCTAAGTCTAGCCTTAGTCCAGTCTTCTAGCAAAACTCAGTTTTCTTTCTTCTCTGCAAACTTTCATTCCAACATCGACCCTCTGCAGTTCAGATTGTCTTGCAGGTCAGATTGTCTGTGTGCTGCTATGGTAGGCAGTAGCTGAGAGATGGAGCTACCTTAAGATCAATTGCCAGATAATCAGAGGTCAATTATCCCAGTGCATAAGTAGTGTACATATCAATTGTTCATTTTATAAAATTCTAAATGAACCAGAGGCAATAATTAAAGATGAAATTTTGATGGTATATTTGTAGGAAATCTACACAATGTTTCCCTAATTTCCCATGTTTGTGTATTTTAAAACAATGTGGCATTATTGGTTCATATTTTTATTTTTTAGACTTCCTTAATGCAAAACATATACAGTTGATCCTCATTATTTGGGGATTCTGTATTTGCAAATTTGCCTACTCAATAAAATTTATCCCCAAAGTAACCCCAAAATATATACTCACAGTACTTTCCCAGGCATTCATGGACATGCACAGAGCAGTGAAAAACTTGAGTTGCTCAGCATGTACATTCCTAGCTAGTAGAATAAGGCAATACTCTGCCTTCTTGTTTCAGCTCTCATACTATTAACTAGCAAGTATCCCTTTCAAGGTCTATTTTGTGCCAGTTTTTGCATTTTTGTATTTTTGTTGGTAATTTCCTTTTTAAAATGTTCCCCAAAGGTAGTGCTGAAGTGCTGTCTAGTGTTCCTAAGTGCAAGAAAGCCATAGCATGCCTTATGGAGAAAATATATGCGTTTGATAAGCTTTGCCCCAAATTCAATGTTAGTGAATCAACAGCACACATTAAATGAGGTGCCTTCAAACAGAAACAGACATAAGACATGGTTATGTATTAATCAGTTGATGAAAGTGTTGTAATCAGAGGCTCACAGGAACCTAACCCTGTTTTTCCTGTAGGAACAATGGTTTGGTATTTGCTAATTCAGTGTTTGCAATGAATATAGAACTTTATGGAAGATGATTGCTGTGAATAATGAGAATTAACCATATCTCTTTAAGAGTGCATTTCTAAAGGAGAATATTCAGAAGGGTATTTGCATAATTTCTTTACTAACAGATGCTGCCTCTCACTGTCCTTACATGGTCCAGATTCTCATGCTGCTCCTTCCCTCTCCCCAGGAGGATTCTCTCAGAATCCTGTCATCTCTCCAGGGTCCTTTCTCCAAGAAAGTCTATCCTTTCACCACTAACAGTAATTTTGGTCTTCCTCTTTTTCTGGAGAAGTCAGCTGTTTATGCTGCTTCAGCACCAGACCCTCTCTTACTTTGTTTTGTTTCATTCTTTTTCATGTACAGTAGTCTTAGGATTCTCATGAGCCTGTGAGCTGCTAGAAGGAAATACAGCAGTGCTTACATTTATTGCTTCTATTTTATTTTCTATTTTCTCTTCCTGTCTTCTGATTGTTCTCCTTCTGTCCACAAACATGCTCTAATTTCCCTAGTATTAAAAATTTTCTGTCTTTTGTTGTTCTTTTATCCTTGCTCCCTTATTTTTACTGCCAGATTTTTATTTTTATTTATTTATTTTTGAGATGGAGTCTCACTCTGTCACCCAGGCTGGGGTGCAGTGGCGCGATCTCAGCTCACTGCAACCTCCGCCTCCCAGCTTCAAGCAATTTTCCTCTTTTAGCCTCCCAAGTAGCTGGGATTATGGGCACCTGCCACCATGCCTGGCTGATTTTTCTATTTTTAGTAGAGACGGGGTTTCACCATGTTGGCCACACTGCTCTCTAACTGCTGACCTCAGGTGAACCACCCGCCTCAGCCTCCAAAAGTGCTGGGATTGCAGGTGTGAGTCACTGTGCCTGGCCTTTTACTGCCAGATTTTTAAAAGAATAGTCTGCTTTAGCTCTATTTCCTCATTTACTACTTCTCTTTAACTCAGTCATATATGATGTTTTGCATAGTAAATGTCTAGTAATTTATTAAAAATGTAGAAATAGGTACTTTTAAAATGAATAGATCCTACTTTAATTGAATTTATCTTGGAGTTAGAATATCTTGATTTGGATTTTAGTTCTGCTACTTCTTAATTACATTACTTGGTAAGGCCACTTGTGAAGTCAGTCTCTTTGGAGGAATATTATTTATCTATAAGGCTGTTACAATTACTGAATTTTAAAAAATGTGTATTTATTTTTTAATGTATTTGTTACATTTTTAGTATTGATGTTGGGATAGGCATTTAAGCAAGTCTATAACTCACCTACATGCATAATTTTGCCTTAATCAGTTTAAAGCTTTCTCTTAAATGAGAGATTTGAAATTCATAATTTCTGTGGTTCTTATCAGTTCTGAGTTTTATTTTTTGCCCTTTTTATTTTTTTAAAGGAAAAATTGAGGCTTCAGAAATTGTCCAGTCTCTCCAGACACTGGGTCTGACTATTTCTGAACAACAAGCAGAGTTGATTCTTCAAAGGTAAGCTCTTCATGTTGGTCAACAATTGACTTTCACTTTAATATCCTGCATTAGAACTCTGTGTTTGTAAGTGTGGCTTTAAAACACCTCCCTAGTCTTCATTATGTATATCCAAGATCTTTTTGTCTTTTTTCCTCCCATTCATTTTGTATGTGTACATTTATCTAAAGTGTAAGAATGGGAAGTGTAAGCTCAGACTGGACTCTTTCTTTCAAGGCCTCAAAGGATAGTGGAATGGCAGGAAGTAAGGTTTTAACTCCATAGATGAGGAGCTGAAGAGTTTTGGTGTTGCTTTTTCTCCATTTGATTTCTAATGTGACAGTAAAACTCATTGATTCAAACTAAGAAGACTAGCAGATTCATCACATTATTTAACCTAGATGTGACTGGAAAAAAGGGAAATTACTAAGCTCTCCAAGCTAACAAAGAAATACCTGTTTAAACTTTCAGAAAACAGAAATGCAAATTTGAACCTTATTGTCTGGGGCAATCAGTTTGACTACTTAAGTCAGACTTTTATACTCTTAATGTTTTGTTTCATGGGATAGAGCAGTAATCTCTGCAGCCCAGGTGCTCTCAAATACTCTGTTGCTATAAACACAGGGCAGGAACTGATTTTTTATGATAACGTAAAACAGAAAAGGACAATTATATTGTATTAATATTGTTGTGAATATTTTCAGTCCTCACATTGTCTAAAAATCTTTCTAAATGGCTTTGTTATTGAATTTATCTCATTTTATATCTGTGCCAATAGCATTTTCATCCTTTCTCTTCATAATTTCTTTTACAAACAGCTGCTCAAGAGGAAGGCTCAAAGTCTCAAGGCTGAGCACGTAATGACTTTTGTTAGTACTAGATGAGAAGGGCTTTCCTGAGGAAATGAAAACCTAAAACATGAAAAGAAGATAAACAGAATTTGGACAGTGAGATATAGAGCATATAATATTCTGCTTCTAAAGTAATATTCTTCTAGGAAAGTGAGGGCGTTTCCCTGGCTGTTAGGCCAGAAATCATATTCCTATATTTTCTTTGATAGCTTTAGGAATAATGCAAATTCTAAGCCCAAGCTTCAGAATAGACTAAGAAGTATTAGCTTAGCTGCCATGACAAAATACCATAGGCTGGATGCATTAAACAATGGAAATTTAGTTTTTCACAGGTCTGGGAGCTGGAAGTTTAAGATGAGAGTGCCAGCATGGTTGGGTTGTAGTGAGGGCTCTCTTTCTGGCTTGCAGATAGACCCCTTCTCACTGTATTGTCATATGGCAGAGAGAGAGAGAGAGAGAGAGAGAGAGAGGGATCTTTCTCTTGCTTTCTATTATAAGGCCATAGTCCTGTTGGATCAGGGTTCCATTCTTATGACTTTATTTGACTTTACCCCCTAAAGATGCTATCTCCAGATATAATCACACGGTGGGTTAGGGCCTCAACATTTGGATTTGGGAGGGACACAGCTCAGTCCATAGCAAAGGATAATGCAGAGGGTTGGATATTTAAAAGTAGCTACACAATTTTTAATATAAATATTTTATGGTAACTTTTTTTTTTTTTTGAGATGGAGTCTAGCTCTGTTGCCCAGGCTGGAGTGCAATGGTGCGATCTCAGCTCACTGCAACCTCCGCCTCCCAGGTTCAAGCAATTCTCCTGCCTCAGCCTCCTGAGTAGTTGGGACTATAGGCACGCGCCACCACGCCTGGCTATTTTTTTTTATTTTTACTAGAGACGGGTTTGCACCATATTGGTCAGGCTTGTCTCGAACTCCTGACATCAGGTGATCCACCCATCTTGGCCTCCCAAAGTGCTGGGATTACAGAAGTGAGCCACCGCACCTAGCCAGCAGCTTTACTGAGATGTAATTCACATGCCATAAATTCACTTTTCTAAAGTATACAATTCAGTGACTTAAAACATTTATTTATTTTTAAATTGACAGAATTACATGTATTTATCATGTACAACATGATGTTTTGAAGTATATGTACATTGTGGAGTGACTAAGTCTAGCTAATTAACATGATACATCTCATACTTAATGATTTCTGTGGTGAGAACACTTTACATCCATTCTCTTAGTATTTTTCAAGAATATAATATATTATTATTAATTGTAGTCTTCATGTTGTATAGTGGAGCTCTTGAACTTATTCCTCATGTCAAGCTGAAATTGTGTGTCCTTTAACACAAACCATACCCGACTCCCAAAGTATTCTGCTCTCTGCTTCTATGAGATTAACTTTTTCTGATTCCACATGAGTGAGATCATGCAGTATTTATTTGTCTTTACCTGGCTTATTTCATTCATATTGTTACAGATAACAGGATTTCCTTCTTTTTTTAATGGCCGAATAGTTTTCTATTGTATATGTATAGCACATTTTCTCTCTTCATGCATTGGTGGACACTTAGGTTGATTCCGTATCTTGGCTATCGTGAATAGTGCTATAATGAACATGGGAATGCACATGGCTCTTTGACATATTGATTTCATTTTATATATGTGTATATATATATGTATACACACACATACATACAGTGGTGGGATTGCAGGATCATATGGTAGTTCTATATTTAATTTTTAAAGGAACTCCATACTGCTTTCCATAATGGCTGTATTAGTTTAACTCCTCACCAACAGGGTGCAAAAGTTCCCTTTTCTCTACATACTTGCCAACACTTGTTATCTTTTGTCTCTTTGGTAATAGTCATTCTAAGTGTAGTATGAGGTGATATCTCATTGTGGCTTTTATTTGCATTTCTGTGGTAATTAGTGATATCGAGCTTTTTTTTTTTTTTTGTACTTTTTGGCCATTTGTATGTCTTTGAAAAATGTCTATTGGGGTTTTTTGGTTGTTTATTTGAGGTTTTTTGTTTTTATATAGGCATTTACTGCCATAAACTTTGCTCTTAAAATTGCTTTTACTGTGTTCCATGGGTTTTGGTATTATGTGTTTCCATTTTTTTTCATCTCAGGAAATTTTTGAATTTTGCTTTCAGTTTCTTCATTGACCCACTGATCATTCAGGAGCATGTTGTTTAATTTCCATGTATTTGTGAATTTGCTGAAGCACCTCTGTTACTGATTTCTAGTTGTTGTTTTTTTTTTTGAGACGGAGTCTCACTCTGTCCTCGAGCTTGAGTGCTGTGGCCCGATCTTGGCTCACTGCAAGCTCCGCCTCCCGGGTTCCCGTCATTCTCCTGCCTCAGCCTCCCGAGTAGCTGGGACTACAGGCACCCGCCACCACGCCCGGCTAATTTTTTGTATGTTGAGTAGAGACGGGGTTTCACTGTGTTAGCCAGGATGGTCTTGATCTCCTGGCCTCGTGATCTGCCCGCCTCGGCCTCCCAGAGTGCTAGGATTACAGGCGTGAGCCACCGCGCCTGGCCTGATTTCTAGTTTTTTATTATTGTGGTCGGAAAAGAAACTTGATATGATTTCATTCTGCTTAAATTTGTTAAGACTTGTTTTGTGGCCTAACATATGATATCCCCTGGTGCATGTTCCATGTGCAGTTGAGAAGAATGTGTATTCTCTTGCCATTAGGTGAAATGTTTTATGTCTGATCTGTCCATTTGTTCTAGAGTATAGTTTAAGTCTGATGTTTCTTACTGATTTTCTGTTGAGATGATTTGTCTATTGCTGAAGGTAGGGTGTTGAAGTCCCCTACTATTGCTGTATTGCAGTCTCTCTCTCCTTTCAGACGTATTAATGGTTTTTATTTTATTTTATTTGTTGTTGTTGTTGTTGTTGTTGTTGTTTTTGAGACGGAGTCTCACTCTGTCACCAGGCTGGAGTGCAGTGGCAGGGTCTCGGCTCACTGCAGCCCCCGTCTCACGGTTCAAGCGATTCTCCTGCCTCAGCCTCCCGAGTCGCTGGGACTACAGGCGCATGCCATCACGCCCAGCTAATTTTTGTATTTTTAGTAAAGACGGGGTTTCACCATGTTGGCCAGGATGGTCTTGATCTCTTGACTTCATGATCCACCCGCCTTGGCCTCCCAAAGTGCTGGGATTACAGGTGTGAGCCACCACCCCTGGCCAATGTTTGGTATTTATCTTTAGGTGCTCTGATGTTGGGTTCATATATATTTATAAAAAACAATAGCTACATAACTTATTAAGGGATATGCAATATAAAATATATAAATTGTGACACTGAAAATTTAAAATGGGAGGAGTGGAGTAAAAGTACCTTCATATAACTTACTATTATATCCTCTTATTGAATTGACCCTTTTATCATTATATAGGAACTTTGTTTCTCCTTTACAACTTCTGACTTAAAGTTTGTTTTATATGATATAAGTAAAGTTACTCCTGCTCTCCTTTGGTTTCTGTTTCCATGGAATATCTTTTTCCATTCCTTCACCATCAGTCTGTGTGTATTTTTACAGATGAAATGAGTCTGTCATGGGCAGCATATAGTTGGATCTAGTTTTTTTAATCCACTCAGACACTGTGTTTTTTGATTGGATAATTTAATCCATTCATGTTCAAGGTAATTATTGATAAGTAAGGACTTTGTACTACCATTTTGCTTATTGTTTCATGGTTCTTTTATAGATCCTTTATTCTTTTCTTCCTCTCTTGCTGTCTTTTTTTTGTGGTTAAGTGATTTTCTCTAGTGGTATGTTTTGATTTCTTGCTTTTTATTTTTTGTGTATCTCCTATTGGTTTTTGGTTTGTGGTTACCAAGAGGTTACAAAAAACATCTTAAGAGTTATAATAGTTTATTTTAACTTGATAACTTAATTTTTATTGCAAAAACCCCCCAAAACAAAAAAATCTACACTTTTACTTAATCCCCTGAAATTTTGAATTTTTGATGTCACAGTTTACCTCTTTTCATATTGTGTATCCCTTAAATTATTGTAGCTATTATTACTTTTAATAGTTTTCTCTTTCCTACTACAGATGTAAGTGATTTGCATACCATCATTACAGTATTATTTTGAATTTACCTGTGTACTTTCTTTTATCAGCCAGTTTTATACTTTCAGATGTTTTTGTGTTACTCATTAGCATCTTTTTCTTTCAGCTTGAGGAGCTCCTTTTACGTTTCTTATAAAATAGGTGTGGTCATGATTATCTCCCTCAGCTATTGTTTGTCTGGGAAAGTATCTCTCCTTCATTTCTGAAGGACACTTTGCTGGGTACATTACCCTTGGTTGGTATTTTTCTCCTTGAACGCTTTAAATATATCATCCCTTTCTCTCCTGACCTGTTAGGTCTCTGCTGACCAGTCTGTTTCCAACCATATTGGGACTGTCTTATATGTTATTTGCTTCTTATCTTTTGCTGTTTTCAGGATCCTCTCATTGTCTTTGATTTTTGATAGTTTGATTTTAATATGTCTTGGGGTAGTCTTGTTTGGATTGAATCTGATTAGAGACCTTGGACTTTTCCTGCATGTAGATATTTACCTCTTTCTCCAGGTTTGGAAAATTTTCTGTTACTGTTTCTTTAATTAAGCTTTTTACCCCTTTTATCTTCCTTTTCTCCTTCTTCAACTCCTGTGACTCAAAACTTTGCTCTTTTGATGCTGTTCCATAAATCTTGTAAGCTTTCTTCATTCATTTTCATTCTTTTTTCTCCTCTGTGTATTTTCAAATAACCTGTCTTTGAGTTCATAGTTTCTTTCTTCTTCTTGATCACTTCTGCAGTTGATGCTCCCATATTGCATTTTAATTTTGTTCATTGTATTTTTCAGCCCCATGATTTCTGTTTGATTTTTTCTTTTATTATTTCATCTCTTTATTACCTTTCTCTTTGTGGTCACTCGTTATTTTCCTAATTTCATTGAATTGTTTCTTTGTATTTTCTTGAAGTTTGCTGAGCTTTCTTTGAATTCTATGTCAGTTCATACATCTCTGTTTCTTTAGGGATGGTCGCTGGTACTTTATTTTGTTTCTTTAGTGGTGTCATTTGTTCCTGATTGTTGTTGATGTTTGTGGCCTTGTGTTTACATCTGTGCATTTGAAGAAGTAGGCACTTATTTCAGTCTTTGCAGACTGGCTTTGTCTGAGAATGCCCTTCAACAGTCAGCCTGTCTAGAGATTCTTTAATATTTAATTAAATATCTTTAATATTTTGAAGAACTTCCAAATTGTTTCTAAAGTGGCTGCACCATTTTATAATCCCAGCAGCAATGAATGAAGGTTTCAGTTTCTCCATAGCTATATGAATACTCATTACTGTCTGTCTTTTCATTTTTTGATTTTTATTTTTTTTTTGAGAAAGGGTCTTGCTCTGTCATCCCATCTGGAGTGCAATGGCACAATCATGGCTCATTGCAGCCTCAACTTCCCTGGCTCAATTGATCCTCTCACCTCCTGAGTACCTGGGACTACAGGCATTGTACCACAATGCCTGGCTAATTTTTATATTTTTTGTAGAGATGTGGTTTTGCCATGTTGCCTGGTGTATTAGTCCATTCTCATGCTGCTATAAAGAACTGCCTGAGACTGGGTAATTTATAAAGGAAAAAGGTTTAATTGACTCACTTTTGCTTGGCTGAGGAGCCCTCAGGAAACTTACAATCATGGTGGAAGGGGAAGCAAACACGTCCTTCTTCACATGATGGCAGGAAGAGCAGTGCCTAGCAAAGAGGGAAAAAAACCCTTATAAAATAATCAGATCTCATGAGAAGTTACTCACTATCATGAGAACATCAGAATGAGGGTAGCCTCCTCCATGATTCAATTACCTCCCACTGGGTCCCTCACGTGACATGTGGGGATTATTGGAACTATAATTCAAAATGAGATTTGGGTGAGGACACAGCCAAACCATATCATTTTTGCCCTGGTCCCTCCCAAATCCCATGTTCTCACATTGCAAAACACAATAATGCCTTTCCAGCAGTCCCCCAGCGTCTTAACTCATTCCAGCGTTAACCTAAAAGTCCAAGGTTTCATCAGAGACAAGGCAAGTCCCTTCTGCCTATAAGCCTGTAAAATCAAAAGCAAGGTAGTTATTATACTTCCTAGATACAATGAGGGTACAGGCATTGATTAAATATACTTGTTCCAAATGGGAGAAATTGGCCAAAATGAAGGGGCTACAGGCCCCAAGTAAGTCCGAAATCTAGTGGAATAGTCAAATCTTAAAGCTCCAAAATGATCTCCTTTGACTCCACATCACACATCCAGCTCATGCTAATGCAAGAAGTGGGCTCCCATGGCCTTGGGCATCTGCACTCCTGTGGCTTTTCAGGGTACAGACCCCCTTCTGGCTCTTTTCACAGGCTGGCGTTGAGTGTCTGTGGCTTTTCCAGGTGCATGGTGCAAGCTGTCGGTGGATCTACTATTCTGGGTACTGGAGGATGGTGGCCCTCTTTTCACAGCTCCACTAGGCAGTGCTCCAGTGGGGACTCTGTGTGAAGGCTCCAACCCCACATTTCCCTTCTGCACTGCCCTAGCGGAGGTTCTCCTCAAGGGCTCCACCCCTGCAGCAAACTTCTGTCTGGACATCCAGGCATTTCCATACATCCTCTGAAATCTAGGCAGAGGATCTCAAACCTTAATTCTTATCTTCTGTGTACCCGCAGACTCAACACCTTGTGGAAGCTGCCAGGGCTTGGGGCTTGCACCTTCTGAAGCCATGGCCTGAGCTGTACCTTGGCTCCTTTTAGCCATGGCTGGGATGCAGGGCACCAAGTCCTGAGACTGCACAAAGCAGCAAGGCCCTGGGCCTGGCCCAGGAAACCATTTTTTCCTCCTGGGCCTCTGGGCCTATGATGGGAGGGCCCTTCCTGAAGACCTCTGAAGTGCCCTGGAGGCATTTTCCCCATTGTCTTAGTGATTAACATTTCACTCCTTGTTTCTTATGCAGATTTCTGCAGCTGGCTTGAATTTTTTCCTCAGAAAATAGATTTTTCTTTTCTGTCACATCATCAGGGTGCAAATTTGACAAACTTTTGTCCTCTGCTTCCTGTGGAATGCTTTGCCACTTAGAAATTTCTTCTGCCTGATACCCCAAATCATCTCTCTTAGGTTCAAAGTTCCACAGATCTCTAGGGCAGGGGCAAAAAGCCACCAGTCTCTTTGCTATAGCATAACAAGAGTCATCTTTGCTCCAGTTCCCAACAAGTTCCTCATCTCCATCTGAGATCATCTCAGCCTGGACTTCATTGCCCATATTACTATCAGCATTTTGGTCAAAGCAATTCAACAAGTCTCTGGGAACTTACAAACTTTCCCACCTCTTTTTGTCTTCTGAGCTCTCCAAATTTTTAAGAAGTTCCAAACTTTCCCAGTCTTCTTCTGAACCTTCCTAACTGTTCCAACCTCTGCCTGTTACCCAGTTCCAAAGTCAGTTCCATATTTTTGGGTATCCTTATAGTAGCACCCAACTCCTAGTACCAATTTACTGTATTAGTTCATTCTCACGCTGCTATAAAGAACCACCTGAGAATGGGTATTTTATAAAGGAAAGAGGTTTAATTGACTCACAGTTTCGCGTGGCTGGGGAGGCCTCAGATAACTTACAGCCATAGCAGAAAGGGAAGCAAACATGTCCTTCACATGGTGGCAGGAAGAAGAAGTGCTGAGCAAAGAGGGAAAAGCCCTATAAAACCATCATATCTCGTGAGAACTCACTCACTATCATGAGAACAGCAGCATGGGGTTGACCACCCCCCATAATTCAATTACCTCCCACCAGCTGTCTCCCGTGACACATGGAAATTATGGGAACTACAACTCAAGATGAGATTTGGGTGGGGACACAGCCAAACCATATCATCTAGGCTGGTATCGAAATCCTGGGCTCAAGCAATCCACCCACCTTGCCCTACCAAAGTGCTGGGATTACAGGCATGAGCCACCATATCTGAACTGTCTTTTGATTTCTTTTGATTTTAACCATCCATTGTTTCTGCTTCTCTAGATAACCCTGACTAATATATAATTGGTATGAAGTGATATCTCATGGCTTTGATTTATATTTCTTTCATGGCTAGTGACTTTTTTTGTACTTTTGGGATATTGTTATTATTATTATTATTATTACTAGTGTTTATACTTCTTCAGTAAAAGTGTTAGAAACAATTTTTAAAGGCAGAATGTGACCAGAGTTTCCTGTAGTTATATAACCATCATGGACCTTCCCTCAAGTGCTAAGCCATTAGTGTTACTCATGTCACTCCAAATGTCAGCTTGTTTTCTTCCATTTCACTGTCTCTTTGTGTCCCAAACTTGAATTCATGGGAAAAACATCTGAATGGTGCTTAATATGGTTTGGATATTTGTCCCCTCCAAATCTCATGTTGAAATATGACCTCCAGTGTTGGAAGTAGGGACTACTTGGGTCACGAGAGTGGATCCTTCATTAATGGCTTGGTAATAAGTGAACTCTATTAGTTCATGAAAGCTGGTTGTTGATAAGAGCCTGGCATCTCATTTCTCTTGTCCTTCTCTCACCATCTGACACACTTGCTCACCTTTTTTCTTCAGCCATGAGTAAAAGCTTCCTGAGGTCTCACCAGAAACTGAGCAGATGTTGGTGCCATGCTTGTACAGTCTGTAGAACTGCGAGCCAAATAAGCCTCTTTTCTTTATAAATTACCGAGTCTCAGGTGTTCGTTTAAAACAACACAAAACAGACTAACACAGTGTTGATTGAAACAGCTGTGACTGGGTCATCAGGGTGTAAGAGAGGAGTCACTGAGTTGAAATATAGCCTCCTACTTACACCTGTTCAGTAGAAGCTGTAGATATGAAGTAGCTGAAGCAGGCATTCCCTCTGAAACATGTGTTTCACATATGTCATAATTATCTTCTGCTCTCATTTTTCTTTTAGGCTTTTGTCTCCATCTCATTTCCCCTGTTTACTCTCATTTTCATATCTTTACATTTCTTTCTCCAGAATTGTTCAGAAGCTTGGAACCCTTCACTCCAGTTATTCTTTGACTATGCAATTTGTTTCTGTGCTTCATGGCACTTATGGTTTGTAATCCTTGACTTGTTTGTATAGCTCAGTGGTTAGGAGTACAGTTTGGAGTTAGAATGCCTGGGTTGAAACTCTTAATTCTACTCTACTTACTAGTCTTGTGACTATAACAAAATTCTTAGCCTCTCTTTGTCTGTAAAATGGAGAGTATAGTAAATACATGGGCTTGTTTTAAGGATTAAATGAGTTAACATGTGAAATACTTA
Organism: Homo sapiens; assembly: GCF_000001405.40. Classification (NCBI taxonomy): domain Eukaryota; kingdom Metazoa; phylum Chordata; class Mammalia; order Primates; family Hominidae; genus Homo; species Homo sapiens. The sequence continues at coordinate 183,941 of NW_017852928.1, read as the reverse complement.
GAACAATGCCTGGCAAATGCTCAATGAATATTGAGTATTGCTTGCTTTTGTTTAGTGCCATGCCTGTTGTTCCCACTGAGGGCACAGACCATGTGTATCTGGTTAACAGTTCTATGTCCACCACGTTGCAATAATGGACTCTCAGAAAATATTGAAGAATATGTTAAAGAATGAGTAGAATTATGCTACTGAAAAGGGTGAGTGGAAGGTAGGTAGGGGAAAGGACATATACAGCCCTGGAGGCAGCATATATGGGGAATGGGTCACACAGTGTTTCTTGGTACTCTCTAGACCATAGTGGGCCACCTCTTAGCTAGTGGCCTATGGATTATTTCAGCAGTCTGTTGGAAACATCCATGAATATGATAATAATGACCCATTTGTGGGTTCTAAGAAAAAGGACAACTACAATACTAGACAATAATAGTATGTAAGTTAGGAGGGAAGGGGATGATTTGTATTAAACTGTTCTAAAATTCTTACCTTATTTAGGATGATGGGGTCAGACATTAACTTTAGACTTTGTTATATATATGTGGTAAAATTTCAAGGTAAACCATTGAAACTGTAGTAGTTGAGTATATAACTTCCAAATCAGGGGGGAAAGAAATGGAATAAGAAAATAAATACATAAACATAAGATTGAAACAATCCAATGAAGAGTAGAGAGAAGAGGGAAAAACATAGAAAGAATGAGATAATTAGAAAGCAATAGGTAAGATGTGAGAAATAAATTCAAGTACAGTAAAACTCCACTAAAATGTGCCCTGCAGTAATGTTGGGGCATGATTTCCCTTCATCCCCATTCTCAAATGGGGCAGCCTAAATAGCGTTCTTATCCTGTTTCCCTGGGGGTTTGAGGTGGGTGACGAGTAAGTTAGAAGATAATCACCTTCTGATCAGTTAGGACTTTCTCAGTTTAGTCTTCAATTAATAAAAATTAATGTAAATTTCATCAGAAGGCAGAGATTGTCAGATGAAAGAACAAGCAAAATAAAAGTCTTACTGAAAAAAAGCTGGGGTAGCTATGTTAATATCAACTGTTAATTATTATTAATAATCTATTAATAAAAGATTATATAGTAAAAACATTAATAAAAATAGAGTGTCACTACATTTTAAAATTCAGTATGAGGATATACAGTTTTTAAGCTGGTTGATAAAATTCTGGGGATTAATTGGCAAATCCATCATAGTGGTGAGAGATTTTAACACAATTCTTCCTGTATTTGATAGGTCAAGCAGAGAAAAACTTTAGTGAAGACAAAAACTTCTAAATACATAAGCTTGATTTAATGGGCATGTAATAGGACCTAGCATCAAAAAATTAGAAAAAATATTTTTTCTTAGGTATTTATGGAACATGTATAAAAATTGATTTCATAGTAGGCCATAAAGCCAGGTTCAACACATTTCAAAGAACTGGTATCACAAGAACTGCTTTCTCTGACCACTATGCATTAAAATAGAAGTTAATTACAGACATAAATTATAAAAATGCCAATATTTTAAAGTGTGATATACACTTCTCAACTTATGGGTCAAAGGAAATCGTAAGTGGAAATTCAAGGACACGTTGACTTGAAAACATTAAAACTTATGGAATATTTCTAAGATGGAACTTGTATGAATTTTATAGTCTGAAAGCTTTTATTAGAAAAGAATTAAGTCTGAAAATTAATGTGCTAAGTTAGGGGAGAGAAAATGGAATAATCTCGAAGAAGGTAGGAGGAAGGAGATAATAAAGAATATATAGCAAAGATGCAGTAACAGGATCAACAAAGCCAGAAACTGTTGGAAAAGACAAGCCTCTGGAAAGATTGATGAAGAAAAAAGAGAAATGAGATGTAAATAAATCATGTTCAGTTATAAATAGGCACATAAGGACTTTTAAAAAACTAATAAAATAATATGAATCATTAATGCCAATAAATTTGAAAACAGACAAAGTAGGTGAATTTCTAGAAAAATATAACTTACTGGGACTGAATGAAGAAGCAACAGCTTATAGTACCTAAGCAATTGAAGAGATTGGGTCAGTAATTTAAAATTTTCTCATAAACAAAACGTTAGCCCCAGATGGTTCTTGCAAATGATTAAAGAACAGATGTACAAACATTTCCAGAGTGTAGAAGTACACTGTCCTATCCTTTCTAGGAGATCATTATAACACCAAAAGCAGACAGTATATGAAACAGGGAAATTAGAGGCCAAGATACCTATGACTTATATGTAAAAATTTAAAGAAAATATTAGCAAACTGAATCAGCCATTTTAAAAAATATACCACAATCAATGCATTCATAAGAGCAGCTTAACAAAATTTGTTAGAAGGCATTAAAGAAGACTCAGTATAGAAAAGATGTACCTTCTCTCCAAATTGGTGATAGAGATTCAATGCCATTAAAAAAACCCACCTGGTTTTTTTGAGGAACTTGTCAAGCTGAGTCTCAAATTTATATCAAAGAGCAAAGGCCTAAGAATATCCAGGACATTCCTGAAGAACTGTAAGGAGCCAGGGGCCTGCCCTATCAGATACCAAGGGTTGTTATTAAGCCATAACCAAGTCAGTGCTGTTTCTACAGAAACAGACAAGTTAACAAGTGAAACATAATAGAGAGCCCAGAAACAGACCCATCCATATTTTGGATTTGTCACGTGAAAGAAGTAGCTTTGCAAAACTTTGGGAAAAGGAGAGTGTGTGCAATAGATGATGCTCGTGCTCATGCAGACAAAAAGGAAATTGGGATACCTGCCTCTTACCGTACACAAACACCAACCTAAACGTGAAAGTTAAACTATAACAGCTTGAGGTGGTGGGGAAGAAATATCTTTATCTCAGTGTAGGGAAGAATTTATTTTAAAAAGAAGACACAAAAGGCCATACATAGGAATGAAAAGATTGAATTCAGCTGCATTAAAAAGATTAAATTCAGCTGCGTTAAAATCAAGAGCATCTGTACTTGGACAGCATAGAGTGGAAAGACAAAGAGAAGGTATTTGCCAGCTTATAACTTGAAGGATTAGAATGAATGATATAAAGAACTATGTAAATAAGAAAAAGACATACAACCGGTTAGAAAAACGGGCAAAGACATGAACAGCATATTTCACGTGAAGGAAACAGCAGTAGCAAATGAACATGGTAAGAGATGCTCAACACGTTTAGTAATTTGAAGGGAAATGCAAGTTATACCCACAGCAAGACTATCTTATCTAGGAAGTTTGTCAATACCCTAAATGTTCTGTGGTTTTAAGCTACAGAGTTTGTAATTCATTTATTTATTCAATAAATACTCAGTGGCAGGCACTGGTTTAGAAACCTTGGTTATAACTTTGAATGAAATTAAAAAAAATCCTTGCCTTGTGGAGGATGCTTATGTGTGGGGAGTTGGGTGGTGGGGTCAAACAACAATTACATTAAAATAGAAAATAGTGACATAAATAAACCTATAAATATTGCAACCCAGAGTTATATTATAAATGTAAGTAGTGACTAGGACTCTCATGCAGATATACCTCTGTGCTGGGACAAATGAAAGTTTAAGTGTAATTTCCCATATGCAAGTCAAAATAAAAAGTGACACTAGAAAACACAATAATGAATATCTGAAAATTGCATTTTATTTGACTGCCATCCTTTTGCATCATTTTCATACTAATTATAGAATAAAATTTGTAGGATGCACCAAAGCTTTTTTTAGAGACATCCATTAATTCAATAAATAAATGAGCACCTTCTTTGTGCCAGCAGCTGTAAGAGGTGGCCCAAGGAAGGGAATAAAACAGTCAAAATCCTGGTACACTCAGAGTTTCTCTTAGGAGAAAACAGATACAAATGGCATTAATTACCAAGAAACTTGTAAAACAAGCCAAATATTAATGATAAATATTTGAGTACAGTATGTTAATTTTAAGATTGAAAATGAGGTGCCAGGATTTCTTAAGACTCAAAGGCGAAGATGGCTGAATAGGAACAGCTCCGGTCTACAGCTCCCAGCGTGAGCGACGCAGAAGACGCATGATTGCTGCATTTCCATCTGAGGTACCGGGTTCATCTCACTAGGGAGTGCCAGACAGTGGGCGCAGGTCAGTGGGTGTGCGCACCGTGCGCGAGCCGAAGCAGGGCGAGGCATTGCCTCACTCGGGAAGTGCAAGGGGTCAGGGAGTTCCCTTTCCTAGTCAAAGAAAGGGGTGACAGACGGCACCTGGAAAATCGGGTCACTCCCACCTGAATACTGCACTTTTCTGACGGGCTTAAAAAATGGCGCACCAGGAGATTATATCCTGCACCTGGCTCGGAGGGTCCTACACCCACGGAGTCTCGCTGATTGCTAGCACAGCAGTCTGAGATCAAACTGCAAGGCGGCAGCGAGGCTGGGGGAGGGGCACCCGCCATTGCCCAGGCTTGCTTAGGTAAACAAAGCAGCCGGGAAGCTCAAACTGGGTGGAGCCCACCACAGCTCAAGGAGGCCTGCCTGCCTCTGTAGGCTCCACCTCTGGGGGCAGGGCACAGACAAACAAAAAGACAGCAGTAACCTCTGCAGACTTAAATGTCCCTGTCTGACAGCTTTGAAGAGAGCAGTGGTTCTCCCAGCACGCAGCTGGAGATCTGAGAACGGGCAGACTGCCTCCTCAAGTGGGTCCCTGACCCCTGACGCCCGAGCAGCCTAACTGGGAGGCACCCCCAGCAGGGGCACACTGACACCTCACACAGCCGGGTACTCCAACAGACCTGCAGCTGAGGGTCCTGTCTGTTAGAAGGAAAACTAACAAACAGAAAGGACATCCACACCAAAAACCCATCTGTACATCACCATCATCAAAGACCAAAAGTAGATAAAACCACAAAGATGGGGAAAAAACAGAGCAGAAAAACTGGAAACTCTAAAAAGCAGAGTGCCTCTCCTCCTCCAAAGGAACGCTGTTCCTCACCAGCAACGGAACAAAGCTGGATGGAGAATGACTCTGACGAGCTGAGAGAAGGCTTCAGACGATCAAATTACTCTGAGCTATGGGAGGACATTCAAACCAAAGGCAAAGAAGTTGAAAACTTTGAAAAAAATGTAGAAGAATGTATAACTAGAATAACCAATACAGAGAAGTGCTTAAAGGAGCTGATGGAGCTGAAAACCAAGGCTCGAGAACTACATGAAGAATGCAGAAGCCTCAGGAGCTGATGCGATCAACTGGAAGAAAGGGTATCAGCGATGGAAGATGAAATGAATGAAATGAAGCGAGAAGGGAAGTTTAGAGAAAAAAGAATAAAAAGAAACGAGCAAAGCCTCCAAGAAATATGGGACTATGTGAAAAGACCAAATCTATGTCTGATTGGTGTACCTGAAAGTGACGGGGAGAATGGAACCAAGTTGGAAAACACTCTGCAGGATATTATCCAGGAGAACTTCCCCAATCTAGCAAGGCAGGCCAACATTCAGATTCAGGAAATACAGAGAACGCCACAAAGATACTCCTTGAGAAGAGCAACTCCAAGACACATAATTGTCAGATTCACCAAAGTTGAAATGAAGGAAAAAATGTTAAGGGCAGCCAGAGAGAAAGGTCGGGTTACCCTCAAATGGAAGCCCATCAGACTAACAGCGGATCTCTTGGCAGAAACTCTACAAACCAGAAGAGAGTGGGGGCCAATATTCAACATTCTTAAAGAAAAGAATTTTCAACCCAGAATTTCATATCCAGCCAAACTAAGCTTCATAAGTGAAGGAGAAATAAAATCCTTTACAGACAAGCAAATGCTGAGAGATTTTGTCACCACCAGGCCTGCCCTAAAAGAGTTCCTGAAGGAAGTGCTTAACATGGAAAGGAACAATCAGTACCAGCCGCTGCAAAATCATGCCAAAATGTAAAGACCGTCGAGACTAGGAAGAAACTGCATTAACAAACGAGCAAAATAACCAGCTAACATCATAATGACAGGATCAAATTCACACATAACAATATTAACTTTAAATGTAAATGGACTAAATGCTCCAATTGAAAGACACAGACTGGCAAATTGGATACAGAGTCAAGACCCATCAGTGTGCTGTATTAAGGAAACCCATCTCACATGTAGAGACACACATAGGCTCAAAATAAAAGGATGGAGGAAGATCTACCAAGCAAATGGAAAACAAAAAAAGACAGGGGTTGCAATCCTAGTCTCTGATAAAACAGACTTTAAACCAACAAAGATCAGAAGAGACAAAGAAGGCCATTACATAATGGTAAAGGGATCAATTCAACAAGAAGAGCTAACTATCCTAAATATATATGCACCCAATACAGGAGCACCCAGATTCATAAAGCAAGTCCTGAGTGACCTACAAAGAGACTTAATTAATAATTAAGTCACACATTAATAATGGGAGACTTTCACACCCCACTGTCAACATTAGACAGACCAATGAGACAGAAAGTCAACAAGGATACCCAGGAATTGAACTCAGCTCTGCACCAAGCAGACCTAATACACATCTACAGAACTCTGCACCCCAAATCAACAGAATATACATTTTTTTCAGCACCACACCACGGCTATTCCAAAATTGACCACATACTTGGAAGTAAAGCACTCCTCACCAAATGTAAAAGAACAGAAATTATAGCAAACTATCTCTCAGACCACAGTGCAATCAAACTAGAACTCAGGATTAAGAATCTCACTCAAAACCGCTCAACTACATGGAAACTGAACAACCTGCTCCTGAATGACTACTGGGTACATAACGAAATGAAGGCAGAAATAAAGACGCTCTTTGAAACCAACAAGAACAAAGACACAACATACCAGAATCTCTGGGACGCATTCAAAGCAGTGTGTAGAGGGAAATTTATAGCACTAAATGCCCACAAGAGAAAGCAGGAAAGATCCAAAATTGACACCCTAACATCACAATTAAAAGAACTAGAAAAGCAAGAGCAAACACATTCAAAAGCTAGCAGAAGGCAAGAAATAACTAAAATCAGAGCAGAACTGAAGGAAATAGAGACACAAAAAACCCTTCAAAAAATTAATGAATCCAGGAGCTGGTTGTTTTTGAAAGGATCAACAAAATTGATAGACCGCTAGCAAGACTAATAAAGAAAAAAAGAGAGAAGAATCAAATAGACACAATAAAAAATGATAAAGGGGATATCACCACCAATCCCACAGAAATACAAACTACCATCAGAGAATACTACAAACACCTCTATGCAAATAAACTAGAAAATCTAGAAGAAATGGATAAATTCCTCGACACATACACCCTCCCAAGACTAAACCAGGAAGAAGTTGAATTTCTGAATAGACCAATAACAGGATCTGAAATTGTGGCAATAATCAATAGCTTACCAACCAAAAAGAGTCCAGGACCAGATGGATTCACAGCCGAATTCTACCAGAGGTACAAGGAGGAACTGGTACCATTCCTTCTGAAACTATTCCAATCAATAGAAAAAGAGGGAATCCTCCCTAACTCATTTTATGAGGCCAGCATCATCCTGATACCAAAGCCAGGCAGAGACACAACAAAAAAAGAGAATTTTAGACCAATATCCTTGATGAACATTGATGCAAAAATCCTCAATAAAATACTGGCAAACTGAATCCAGCAGCACATCAAAAAGCTTATCCACCATGATCAAGTGGGCTTCATCCCTGGGATGCAAGGCTGGTTCAATATACGCAAATCAGTAAATGTAATCCAGCATATAAACCGAACCAAAGACAAAAACCACATGATTATCTCAATAGATGCAGAAAAAGCCTTTGACAAAATTCAACAACACTTCATGCTAAAAACTTTCAATAAATTAGGTATTGATGGGATGTATCTCAAAATAATAACAGCTATCTATGACAAACCCACAGCCAATATCATACTGACTGGGTAAAAACTGGAAGCATTCCCTTTGAAAACTGGCACAAGACAGGGATGCCCTCTCTCACCACTCCTATTCGACATAGTGTTGGAAGTTCTGGCCAGGGCAGTTAGGCAGGAGAAGGAAATAAAGGGTATTCAATTAGGAAAAGAGGAAGTCAAATTGTCCCTGTTTGCAGACGACATGATTGTATATCTAGAAAACCCCATTGTCTCAGCCCAAAATCTCCTTAAGCTGATAAGCAACTTCAGCAAAGTCTCAGGATACAAAATCAATGTACAAAAATCACAAGCATTCTTATACACCAGCAACAGACAGAGAGCCAAATCATGAGTGAACTCCCGTTCACAATTGCTACAAAGAGAATAAAATACCTAGGAATCCAACTTACAAGGGATGTGAAGGACCTCTTCAAGGAGAACTGCAAACCACTGCTCAATGAAATAAAAGAGGATACAAACAAATGGAAGAACATTCCATGCTCATGGGTAGGAAGAATCAGTATCGTGAAAATGGCCATACTGCCCAAGGCAATTTACAGATTCAATGCCATCCCCATCAAGCTACCAATGACTTTCTTCACAGAATTGGAAAAAACTACTTTAAAGTTCATATGGAACCAAAAAAGAGCCTGCATCGCCAAGTCAATCCTAAGCCAAAAGAACAAAGCTGGAGGCACCACACTACTTGACTTCAAACTATACTACAAGGCTACAGTAACCAAAACAGTTGGTACTGGTACCAAAACAGAGATATAGACCAATGGAACAGAACAGAGCCCTCAGAAATAACGCCGCATATCTACAACTATCTGATCTTTGACAAACCTGAGAAAAACAAGCAATGGGGAAAGGATTCCCTATTTAATAAATGGTGCTGGGAAAACTGGCTAGCCATATGTAGAAAGCTGAAACTGGATCCCTTCCTTACACCTTATACAAAAATCAATTCAAGATGGATTAAAGACTTAAACGTTAGACCTAAAACCATAAAACCCCTAGAAGAAAACCTAGGCATTACCATTCAGGACATAGGCATGGGCAAGGACTTCATGTCTAAAACACCAAAAGCAATGGCAACAAAAGCCAAAATTGACAAATGGGATCTAATTAAACTAAAGAGCTTCTGCACAGCAAAAGAAACTACTATCAGAGTGAACAGGCAACCTCCAAAATGGGAGAAAATTTTTGCAACCTACTCATCTGACAAAGGGCTAATATCCAGAATCTACAATGAACTCAAACAAATTTACAAGAAAAAAACAAACAACCCTATCAAAAAGTGGGTGAAGGACATGAACAGACACTTCTCGAAAGAAGACATTTATGCAGCCAAAAAACACATGAAAAAATGCTCACCATCACTGGCCATCAGAGAAATGCAAATCAAAACCACAATGAGATACCATCTCACACCAGTTAGAATGGCAATCATTAAAAAGTCAGGAAACAACAGGTGCTGGAGAGGATGTGGAGAAATAGGAACACTTTTACACTGTTGGTGGGACTGTAAACTAGTTCAACCCTTGTGGAAGTCAGTGTGGCAATTCCTCAGGGATCTAGAACTAGAAATACCATTTGACCCAGCCATCCCATTACTGGGTATATACCCAAAGGACTATAAATCATGCTGCTATAAAGACACATGCACACGTATGTTTATTGTGGCACTATTCACAATAGCAAAGACTTGGAACCAAGCCAAATGTCCAACAATGATAGACTGGATTAAGAAAATGTGGCACATTTACACCATGGAATACTATGCAGCCATAAAAGATGAGTTCATGTCTTTTGTAGGGACATGGATGAAATTGGAAATCATCATTCTCAGTAAACTATCACAAGAACAAAAAACCAAACACCGCATATTCTCACTCATAGGTGGGAATTGAACAGTGAGAACACATGGACACAGGAAGGGGAACATCACACTCTGGGGACTGTTGTGGGGTGGGGGGAGGGGGAGGGATGGCATTGGGAGATATACCTAATGCTAGATGACGAGTTAGTGGGTGCAGCGCACCAGCATGGCACATGTATACATATGTAACTAACCTGCACATTGTGCACATGTACCCTAAAACTTAAAGTATAATAATAAAAAAAAAAGACTCAAAGGCACAGTCACTGACAGTTTGATTTTTTATAATAGCTGTTAATTTTCCTAACTTCGAGGAAGTTGATAGCATGTTTTGAGTATATTTCAAAACTACATTCAAATGTTGCAATAGAACATTAAGAATTATCTTCATGATCCACTAAGTGCATGAAAAAAATGGATAATGAATCTATTCATTACCATCGTTTAATATTTTATCTTCAAGTTTTTGTGTTTTGTAGCTCATTGGCAGAGTTTGACAGAGTGCTGAAAGTATTCTTTAGTGAGCTGGCTGTAATTTTTGGGCCCATTTTTATCTAGATAATTAAAACTATCTGACAGGACCATAAAATGCTTGCTGCCATTTCCAACAACCTATATTTGTGGATGGGGTTTTTTAATTTAATGAGAATATTATGTTAGAAAAGAAACTGTCATTCTGTAAAGTGGCCAATAATGTTAGTTTTATTTATCAATTTAGTTTTGTACTTTGATCATTTTTTTAAAATTTCAGCATTGATGTTGATGGGACAATGACAGTGGACTGGAATGAATGGAGAGACTACTTCTTATTTAATCCTGTTACAGACATTGAGGAAATTATCCGTTTCTGGAAACATTCTACAGTAAGTCTACTTTATGTATTTATACTTATTTGGAGCTATAAACCATAGGTACAGTTATCACCCAAGAACACTCTGTAACACTTATGGGCCAGGATACCTGAGTCCCAGTAGCTCCTTAACCTGTAGAGTTCTATTTATTCTATTAGGCATAGATTTATAGAGTATTAAACAAAAAAAAACAGCTCTCCCTCTCCCTCTCCCTCTCTCTCCCCCTCCCCACGGTCTCCCTCTCCCTCTCTTTCCACGGTCTCCCTCTGATGCCGAGCCAAAGCTGGACTGTACTGCTGCCATCTCGGCTCACTGCAACCTCCCTGCCTGATTCTCCTGCCTCAGCCTGCTGAGTGCCTGCGATTGCAGGCGCGCACCGCCACGCCTGACTGTTTTTCGTATTTTTTTGGTGGAGACGGGGTTTCGCTATGTTGGCCGGGCTGGTCTCCAGCTCCTGACCGCGAGTGATCCACCAGCCTCGGCCTCCCGAGGTGCTGGGATTGCAGACGGAGTCTCGTTCACTCAGTGCTCAATGGTGCCCAGGCTGGGGTGCAGTGGCATGATCTCGGCTCGCTACAACCTCCACCTCCCAGCCGCCTGCCTTGGCCTCCCAAAGTGCCAAGATTGCAGCCTCTGCCCAGCCGCCACCCCGTCTGGGAAGTGAGGAGCGTCTCTGCCTGGCCGCCCATCGTCTGGGATATGAGGAGCCCCTCTGCCTGGCTGCCCAGTCTGGAAAGTGAGGAGTGTCTCTGCCCGGCCGCCATCCTGTCTAGGAAGTGAGTGTCTCTGCCCGGCCGCCCATCGTCTGGGATGTGAGGAGCCCCTCTGCCTGGCTGCCCAGTCTGGAAAGTGAGGAGCGCCTCTTCCCGGCCGCCATCCCATCTAGGAAGTGAGGAGCGTCTCTGCCCGGCCGCCCATCGTCTGAGATGTGGGGAGCGCCTCTGCCCCGCCGCCCCGTCTGGGATGTGAGGAGCGCCTCTGCTCGGCCGCCCCGTCTGAGAAGTGAGGAGACCCTCCGCCCGGCAGCCGCCCCGTCTGGGAAGTGAGGAGCGTCTCCGCCCGGCAGCCACCCTGTCCGGGAGGGAGGTGGAGGGGTCAGCCCCCCGCCCGGCCAGCCGCCCCATCCGGGAGGTGAGGGGTGCCTCTGCCCGGCCGCCCCTACAGGGAAGTGAGGAGCCCCTCTGCCCGGCCACCACCCCATCTGGGAGGTGTACCCAACAGCTCATTGAGAACGGGCCATGATGACAATGGCGGTTTTGTGGAATAGAAAAGGGGGAGAGGTGGGGAAAAGATAGAGAAATCAGATTGTTGCTGTGTCTGTGTAGAAAGAGGTAGACATGGGAGACTTTTCATTTTGTTCTGTACTAAGAAAAATTCTTCTGCCTTGGGATCCTGTTGATCTATGACCTTACCCCCAACCCTGTGCTCTCTGAAACATGTGCTGTGTCCACTCAGGGTTAAATGGATTAAGGGCGGTGCAAGATGTGCTTTGCTAAACAGATGCTTGAAGGCAGCAGGCTCGTTAAGAGTCATCACCACTCCCTAATCTCAAGTACCCAGGGACACAAACACTGCGGAAGGCCGCAGGGTCCTCTGCCTAGGAAAACCAGAGACCTTTGTTCACTTGTTTATCTGCTGACCTTCCCTCCACTATTGTCCTGTGACCCTGCCAAATCCCCCTCTGCGAGAAACACCCAAGAATGATCAATTAAAAAAAAAAAAAAAAAAAAAAACAACCCAAGACTGCATAAATGTCCATTCTGAAAACTTGGAAGAAGTACCACCTTGATGAATAAGCTGTCTAGCTTTTATTGGCATTTAAGTATTCTGCCATAGGGAAGTGTAAAAGTTGTAGGCTTTTACTTTTTATAGGTACTATATTGTCCAAATAATCTCAGCACCTCATGGTTGCTAAGGATCTGTGTCCTTGTTTGGTCAGATTATGTTTATCTCTGGCATAAGGCACTTAACAATATTCATTAAAGGTTACAGAATCTTTTTGCTTCATCTGCTTAGCATTTCATACCAGTTTGTTTTCCACCAAACTTTCAAATTTTGATTGTTTCATTAATATTCTGCATACTGATGTAAACCAAGTTCTATTATTGTGCAAACTGCTCCTGAAACCCTTAGGAACTCTCTGAAGGAGTTTTATTTATTTTTTGTTTTTGTTTTTGTTTTTGTTTTGTTTTTTTGAGACGGAGTCTTGCTCTGTTGCCCAGGCTAGAGTGCAGTGGTGCGATCTCGGCTCTCTGCAAACTCGGCCTCCGGGGTTCACGCCATTCTCCTGCCTCAGCCACCGGAGTAGCTGGGACTACAGGCGCCCACCACTGCGCCTGGCTAATTTTTTTTGTATTTTTAGTAGAGACGGGGTTTCACCGTGTTAGCCAGGATGGTCTCGATCTCCTGACCTTGTAATCCGCCCGCCTCGCCTCCCAAAGTGCTGGGATTACAGGCGTGAGCCACTGTGCCCGGCCTTTTTTTTTTTTTTTCTTTATGGGCTTGTCTTCTACACTTCAGATTTGACTAAATTAAATATGCATTAAATGAAGTCAGGAGTTCACATTGCCACTAGTAACAATGCCTAAGCTTACATAAAGCATTATAAAATTGTTGGTGATTAGTGCCTTCTCAGCTATGAGTATAAGATAATATTATACTAGTAGTTCAGTTGCCTAGATAAATTGTACACTATGTGAAGTTTTATTTACATAATTCTTACGGTATTTTTTAAGGTAGTTGATAACAGTTGAGACTACAATTGTATCTCCATTTTATTGATAGTAAAATGAAGGAAGGGAGGGTTACTACCATAGGAGAGCTCCTCCCCGTTGCACTCTTGCCTGTAAAAATTTTTCTGCCAAAACAATTTAGATAATAGAATTGTAAAAATATTATTATAGAATTGTTTCTCTCAAACTATAGTAATGTAGAATAGGTTGAAGGGGTGATGATTTGAAACAATACCTCTCCATTAGCTAAATTTTATATAGAATCTATTGCATGTTTTAAATGATAAGTCAGATTTATAAAAATATTTTTATAAACAGTAGGAAATGAGTTTAGGGGTATTCACATACAGTTTTAATTTTTATTTACATATTTAAAACATATCATGGTATAAATATGATGTGGATATAAATTTGAGATAAAGGAAGTATTGTTTAAGAATTGATGAACTAATTTCTTAAAAGATGTCATCACCAGTTGGTTTTCTAGCCTTATGAAAAATGGTTGCAATAAAAAAGATTGACTATGATAAAATGCTGCCCTTTCATTCTAACCTAGACCAAGAGAAAACATACTGTGAATCTATGATGAATGAAAGAAAGTTGTAACTGTTGGTTTTGTATATTTGTAATTACTGTTTATTTTCATTTCTTGTGAACTGATACTGTACTTTGTTCATTGTGAGTAGACAACTTATAATCTATGTACTCAAATTGGTTTAGTATAAATTCTAGGGAATGAAGTTCATATTAACTGTAAAATAACATGATTCTTCTCTAAAACAAAACGTCTTCTGGGATTATTTTTAACTAAGGCGCATGGGGATCTTTTTTTCATTTTTACAGGGAATTGACATAGGGGATAGCTTAACTATTCCAGATGAATTCACGGAAGACGAAAAAAAATCCGGACAATGGTGGAGGCAGCTTTTGGCAGGAGGCATTGCTGGTGCTGTCTCTCGAACAAGCACTGCCCCTTTGGACCGTCTGAAAATCATGATGCAGGTGAGCTTTATTATCGTGTGTCCAGGTTTGCCCTAAATATTCTAAAACAATGAGAAATGTGGTGCTTTGAAAAAGAAGTTTTAAAATTTCTCAGTAATAATCTTTTATACCCTAAAAAATAAATCTATTTTGTTGCTGTTAACTCTAAATTCAGTCCATGTAAGTATGGCAGTGTACCAAACCTTAAATTGTTAGTACATGTGTGTAATGAACTTTTAATCTTTGGCATTCTATGACTATTCAAACATTTAATTCAAAAAATATCTCTAGCTATTGTTGTAGGATTCTCCTGATTTATAGTTTCCTTCTTTTTAATATACTTTATCAAAAGTAAAGTATTTTTGAAATCTAGACTCTTAGAGCAGCAATGTAATTTTGAAAATTATTCTAAAGCTGAGGTTAGCAGAAAAAGATCTGGCTTTATAGACTGACTTTGCTATTTACTAGCAGTGTAGCATTGGGCTGGCCAGAGTGGAAAGAGGGAATGGAAAAGAATTAATATGTATTTGCTCACTGTGGTAACCCAGTTAATCCTTGCAGCAGCCCAGTGAAGTAGGTATTTTATCATTTTTCCAGGGGGAATCTGAGGCCCAGAGAATTGACTTTTCCTTTACAACAAATGAGAGGGGGAATGCAGTATCTTTGCCTCCAGTGCTCCTGGTTCTCATGCTGCATGAAACCTCTGAGGTCTCATTTTCCTTCATTCTGGGATGGGGATAAGAATATCTAATAAGAATGGTTTAAGAATCAAGCAATATCAGGTATGTGATAATGTCTGGTACACTGGAATAACCTATTGGAACATAGTAGTTGTTTACAAAATATTTTTAAAACTTTGTTATACTTATGGTCAACACTTTTTATATTTGTCTGTAGATTTCTGTACAAAAAGATTCTGACACTGTTTTAAGCCAGCATTCCTTCAGAATGTACCCAAATCTCAAAATTTATTTAGGGGCAAAGCTAATGCTTTAAAGAAAAAGGAGAAGGGATTGGTGTGTGTTTTTCTTTAGGAACAGTAGTAACTTGACTTTTAGAGAACTTGAATAAGCATTTATTTTTTCCTTTGTCCTATTTTATTGTGAAGTTTATTTATTTAAAATAAAATGGATTTCTCTGGAATTTAGTTTCTGCAAATTTGAGGAGTTTCCAAAGTCAACCTTCAGGTTTGATACTTCTCTAGAAAGACTCACATAACTCACTGAAAGCTTATTACCCCTGGTTATGGTTTATTACGGGGAAAAGATGCGGATGAAAATCAGTCAAGTAAAGAAGCACATAGGGCAGAGCTTCTGTTGTCCTCTCCCTGTGGAGTCTCCATGTCTTACTTTCCTGGCACTGTTATGTGGCACTAGGCATGGAATATTGCAGACCAACCAGGGAAGCTCACCTGAGCCTTTGGTGTGCAGAGTTCTTATTGGGGCCCGTTTTCATACTGGCCACATGGCTGGCCTTCAGAATTCAACCCGTTCTGTGAGAGTGTGTGTGTGTGTGTGTGTGTGTGTGTTTAGTGGTAGTCACCCCTTTTATGTGAGCTGAAACAATCAGAAGAATAGCTGATTTGTTTAATTATTTTTGGTGTATTGGACTTAATCAGTTTTTATCTGTAGGTGGTCATAAGGTACAGTATTTTTAAGTGACTACCTCATCTGTAGTATAAGCCAAGTAATTTATCAGTACTCACAGGATGGGTACATGTTGTAATGAATTTATTGCCTAGAGAGGGCCTCAAAATATGCCAAAGAGGGTGCAATTTTTATTTTTGGTTTCAGGCTGTATGCATTCCAGTGTTGGTAGCCCTGATATACACAATATCCAAACCATTTCAGACCCATTTACAGTTCATGTCTGTACTACTTCTTGAGGAGAGGGAGTAACATATTACTTTAAATTATATGTAATAATATACATACATTAAATTATATGTAATAATATAATATTATTATTTGCAGTATACTTTTTTATTTCCCTTTAACTGAGCTTGTTCATGTTTCAAAGGGTGTTCCATTGCCTGATACATAATTTAGTTAATATTATCTTATGAAGGTTGTTCATAATTTTAATACTCTTCTTGTCTTCTCTCTCTGCTTTCTCACACTGAAGATACCAATTATTCTTAGTTTTAGAGTCAGAGACAGGCCTCTAAAATCATGGCAATACTCCCTCTCATCATTATATATATTTTTCAACCTTTCTATATTTTATTTTCAAATATATCTTCTTGCAGTTAGAAACGGTATTGAAAAAGATTGTGTGGTTGTTCTAGAAAAAGTAATAGTAATATGCCACCAGCATTTTATATCATTCTGCTTTTATTTTTAGGTTCACGGTTCAAAATCAGACAAAATGAACATATTTGGTGGCTTTCGACAGATGGTAAAAGAAGGAGGTATCCGCTCGCTTTGGAGGGGAAATGGTACAAACGTCATCAAAATTGCTCCTGAGACAGCTGTTAAATTCTGGGCATATGAACAGGTAATTGTTATCACCCGTGGAATTTATTAACAAAGAGGAGTTAGTAAACGGATTCAATAAATGTTAATGTATAATGCTTTTGGGATTCTTGTTTTAATACATGATAATCTTTCACATATACTCCATAAGGAGGATCACTTATAGGAGATTAGACTAAATAAAATCAGAGATTTCTCATGACCAAGTTATGGGATTCTTAATTCATCATATTATTTATAAAGTTTTTTTTTTCTAAGTAGTTCTTAAAGGAAGGGTATAATTTTAGTTTATTCATTCTGAATCCTGAGCAGAAGCAGCACACTAACATAAGTTTTATGAAAGTGTCACAATCTAACCTCTGGAAGGAAAACTTATAAGTTGAAGTCCTTTGTGTAATTTGACATTGCTGTAAAATTGAGCTGAGTTTGGAGTGACAGCTCCATGAACGCAGGGGCGTGGCTTCTTCCCCATGTACTCCAGCACCTAGACAGAGCTTGGCATGTGATAAGTTTCAAGCGAGTGTTGAATGAGTCAATGAATGAACAAATGCATTTACCTCTGAATCACTTCTCTGTCGGCTTTTGTTAACTTGGATTATTTGAGCTATTGCTTCAGCCTAACTCAATGTAAAGGGGAAATACAGAGGTAAGTTTTAGAGTTTGGGTTCTCTTTATGGTCATTAGCAGAACTGTCTAGTTGAGCAGCCACAGATTATGTTTTCCATTATTTATTCCATCATTGTTTATCAAGGACTGTAAGGGCCTTGAAATTCAACTCCCCCCCCCATAGTTTTTGTATTATTCCATGTAGATTTTAGATTATTCTGGAGAGTGTTTTGTTCTTGAGCAACAGAATACTCTTGAGAAGATTACGAAGTCCAGTGGTATCCTTTTCTTTGCCTAGGAAATAGAGAAGCAAAAAAAAAAAAAAAAAAAAATTAAAGAAAATCTAGTCTCCAGGATTTTAATTAGAACCTATCCTTGGGAAGGCTATTTTCCTTATATGAAGGTTTGAAGATTCAAATCATGATTATTAAGGGCTAATGTTTGAGATACCCTTAGGTTATTCTGACCACATACTTGGATTTTATGATAGGAAAGCCACAGCCTAAAATAAATAAATACTCAATGCAGTTATTTCAGTATGCAAGAAGTTTGGTATTTTTGAAAAAGTCCATGGGTATTGCAAGCAAATATGCACATTTTGCTTTATGCCATTTGTCAGATTCTTACCTTGGATACCACCAACAGGCATCCTCTGCTTCTGTCCACCCAAGCTCCTTCCTGAGACCTCTTTATAGTATTGTGATTTCTGCACACTAACTTTCTTAGACATGAAGAGAAAGCTGTCTACACAGTGTGGTGTAGTTTTCTTATGGGCTCTGGACCTATGGTGCTGTTTTCTCTCCTCCTGCTGAAGGTCCATTCATCCCTCGGGGCTCTCTAAAAGCCACCTTCCTGTGACAAGCATATCCTAAGCATCTCAATCAAAGCCAGTTCCTCCCCTGTCCAGCCTCCCTCGAGTGCTGAATTGCAGAATATCCCATTTTTCATTGGATGATGGAAAACCCATTGTTTTCCCAGTGGATTGTAAATTACTTCGGGGTAAATAGGCTGTATATATTCTCAAATTTCCCAGAGTATGTAACTAGGTCACTTTTAGATTCAGATAGATTTTGTTCCTTGAATAGCTAGTACTTTAGGAAACTAAGAAAAAGATCTTTTCAACCTGATATGTAGCTCTGTCAAACACATCATCAGTATGGGGTAAACCTGTGTTCTCTGTGGGTTGTCATTACCATAGTAGTGTCATTGTATCATTGACAGTGTAGTAGTGTGGGGTAGTGTTCTTGTGGTTTCAGCTGCCATCTCTGTACTGACTGCTTTCCACTCCAACATCTTCCTCTTTATCTCAACACTGTAGGTCTACCTGTGTACTGTGTGTTTCAGCATCTCTGCTTGCATGACCCAGGAGTGCCTCCCACTCAATATGGCCACCATGCATGGTCATCTTTCTGCTACTCCCTGTCTCCTGACCCTGCTCCAGCAACACAGACAGACACCCTTCCTCTTTCTATATGTCATATGGTGGGGAATGCCCTTTAGTACTTACTCAGGAGTTAGTTCCTCTGGGAAGCCTTCTGTTCTAGTTTCCTTTTGTTACAGCACTTTCACATTGAATTCTGACGTTCTCTGTACTTATCTGCTTTGTGAGACTGTGAGCTTCCTTAGGCAGTAGCTACTTGTATTCTTAGCACCTTGCCCAGTGCCAGGAAACCCTTATTAAGTAAATGAAAAGACAGAACTGACAGACTGGAATTAGAGCTCAAGCTTGCCTCAATCTCAAGCCATTAAGATGAAGGGGAGCCGGGCGTGGTGGCTCACGCCTCTAATCCCAGCACTTTAGGAGGTAGTTTGCTTGAGCCCAGGAGTTCAAGACCAGCCTGGGCAACGTGGCAAAACCCCATTTCTACAAAAAATATAAAAATTAGTTGGACGTGGGGGTGTGTGCCTGTACTCAGGATGCTGAGGTGGGAGGATCACTTGAGCTCGAGAGGCAGAGGTTGCAGTGAGCTGGGATCACACCATTGCAATCTAGCCTGGGTGATAGAGTGAGACCTTGTCTCAAAAAATAAATAAATAAATAAATAAAGGGGAAGATAAGGATTGGAAACAGAAGGAGCAGCATGTGGACAGAAATGTAGGCACAAGAAGGCATCACTCACTGAAGAGACTGAAAGTGGTTCACTGTGCCTCAAGACTGGTGGAGTGTGTTTCCGGAAAGATAATGATGAAAGAGCTGGACAGATAAACAGGGGCCAAATGTAATAGGAGTCTGGATTTTATTCTGAATATGGTAGGGGCTATTGTAGCATCTTATATAGGGAAGTGAAATGAGTACATTCACATTTAAGGAATATCAACCTGAAAAAAGAGTGGAGACATTGTTGGGGGAGAGTGAGGTAGACTAGAGGCAGGGAGAATATTTAAATAATTGAGGTAAGAAATGATGAACACCAGTATAAGGTGATGTCTTTAAGGAATGGAGAAGGGAATGAACTGAGAAATATTTTGGAAGTAGAATCAACAGAACTCACTGACTGACTGGATATGGAGGTGAGAAAGAGAAGAGTCAAGAATGATATTCTAATTTCTAACTTGAGTGACTGCATTCAAAGAGAATACAATATCAGGTTCCATTTTGTGCATGCTGAGTTTGAGATGTGTGGGACATGTACAGGGAGCTGTCCAGTAAGCAATTGGATATATCAGCTAGCCATTAAGAGAGAGATCTTTGATAGAGAGGTTGTTGCTGAGTTGAGCCATTGGAATGGGCAGGATCACTCAAGAAGAGCTTATAAATGAGAAGAATTCTAGGAATAAGTCCAAAGGGAGAAGTAAAAGAAGAAACTTGCAAAGGACACTGAGAAGAAATAGCTCGAGGGATGGGAGAAAATCCAGAGAGAGGGATGGCATAGGAGTCAGTGGAAGGAAACGGTTTCATGGGGGTCAGTGCTACTGGGTAGTGAATATAATAAGAATATCTTTTAGGATTTCTCAACCCAGAGATAGGTAAGCTTAGTATAAATGCTTCTGTGAAGTAATGAAATGAGAAACCATGCTGAAATGAGCTTAAAGTGAATGGGAGGTGAAGAAACTTGGACAGTAGAGACACATTTTTAGGGAGTTTGACAGTGAAGAGAAGGAAACTAGAAGAGGGAGAGGGTGATAGATAAGAAAGATGTTGGGTGGAGGGGATTTGTTTTTTTGTTTTTTTGTTTTTTTTCTGTTTGTATGTTTGTTTGTTTTTGAGATGGAGTCTCACTTTATCACCCAGGCTGGAGTAAAGTGGTGCAATCTCATCTCACTGCAACCTCTGCCTCCTAGGTTCAAGTGATTCTTCTGCCTCAACCTCCTGAGTAGTTAGGATTACAGGAGTGCACCACAACACCCAGCTAATTTTTGTATTTTTAGTAGAGGTGAGGTTTCACCGTATTGGCCAGGCTGGTTTCAAACTCCTGACCTCAAGTGGTCCTCCTGACCTCAAGTGGTCCTCCTGCCTCAGCCTCCCGAAATGCTGGGATTGCAGGAGTGAGCCACCGTGCCTGGCCTGGAGGGAGGATTTTGATTTGACTTTAATGTGCCTGTTGCTGAAGGAAGCATGTCAATACAAATAAAGAAGTTGAAAACATAGGTAAGAGAGGTTGATTAACCCGGTAGGTGTTTCAAGGGAGTTTGTGTGTAGGGAAAGGGAGTGGGAGATGGAAAGGGGCTGGGGGAGACAGGTTCTATCCAGAGACTGTTAAAAGGATTAGCCTTTGATTACAAGAAGAACTCTTCTTATACCTGTTTGGGAAGAAAAAATATGTGAGTAGCTATGGATAATTTTGCAGGAGGTGGGCAGAATACCAAGATATTCTGCCTGGTGGCCTCTCTACTCTTCCTTGAGCTCCTGAGAAAGGATGTGATCTGAGAATGAGGGAGGAAGTGGTATTGGAAGCTGGAGGAGAATGGAGAAGATCAAAATGGTTAGTCTAACAAATGGGAGAGAACTGAGATAGACAAAAGGATTTCAGGGTGGTTTTGAGGGCTCAGTTAAGTCTCCTTTAGGAAGGTTCAGTTCTGTAGCCTTGGCAAGTTACTTAAAGTCTCTGTGACTATTACCTCATCTCTAAGATGGGGACTAAGCTTGGTGACATAGTTTTACATACCAGGCACAGTGCCTGACTTTTTGGCTCTGTCCTGAAGTCTTCCCTTTGTATATGGTATGTTTCGGGGAATAGGAGCCTCAAGCACTTATCCTTTAAATATTTATCCTCCATCAGTCACTAAACGTTTACTCTGTACTTTTGATAGGTGCTGTGGGGGTCCAGGGTATAAAAGGTACCTTCAAAGTTACTGTTAAAGTGCAGGAAGGTTTTTAAGCAAATTATGTTTAATGATTTTGACAATCTGACATGCAGGAAAATTAATAGGGCCTATGCAGAAGAGGAGTTTTATGTAACACTCTGTAGTTCAGGAAACAGAGCCCTTGGAAGCAGTGATCTCTCTGGGGAGGAATGTCTGGTATTTGGGAATCTCATGAAATGATAATATACTTAATTTTTATCATGAGCAGCAAAACACAGATTTGCTAGGAGAAAGTCATCGTATGTTGTTGCATTGGGCACTTTAGATCCCAGGGAACAGAAACTGGCTGGCACAGGAATGGGCATCACTGTGGGGATGGATCATGTAGGGGAAGGATCCCTGGAGAAGTCCAGGAGGTGAGACTTCCCCCTTCCCTTCTCCATGCATGAGTCCACTTCTCTCTGTTGACTTTCCCCTTGTCCCTCTGGTGACAGCAGCTGCTTACCTCTGGAGACCCCCTCACATTTCTGAGAGAAGGAATCTGGCTTGCCTGGCTAATTCCCATGGTCTATGTTTGGGCAGAATGTCTTAGCAAGTTGTGTAAAGATAGTGTATTCATATATTAATAATAATAATAACATCTACTGAACATTTGCTAGGTGTTCAGACCTGCACTAACCGTGTTACAAGTATTATTTTTTTGTAATCCTTTCCATAACCCTGTGAGGTAAGTACTGTTATCACAGGCAAGGAAACCACAATGTGGACCTGTTCATGAACTTGCTCGAGGCCACGTGGCTCTGGAGTTCCAGCTCAGGTCTGCCTGACTCTCAATCCCATGATATTAATATACTGGCCAGTCACTATTTTGGCTGTATTGGGGTCATATTTATACCCTTGGTCCAGTTAGCTATGTTGGGTCACTTTAGTACTGATAGCCAGGGAGATGCTGGGCTTGATAGGTTAGTATAATTCTATGTATTACCTACAAAAACTGTTTTTATAAATTGTTTTGTTAATATTTGTTTGTCACCTATTTATTCATTTTATTTGCACTGGTGAAAATAAACTCATCTTTTAAAAACTGTGGGGAAAATATCCAAACATTGTGAAAACTTGATTAACCTTGTATTTTCTGTACACCTGGGGAGGGATGCTGTTATGCTGTTTCAGCAAAGGAGCAACTTGGTCCAATCTGGGAGACATCTGTGTTTTGTGGAAATCTGACTTGAAAACCACTGTCCAGTCACTGCGTGTATTAGCATTTAGGCCTTGCTCTTCTGCTATGTATTATTAATGTAGTGTATACATTTCGAGACACATCATCACATTTGTCAATTTATTGATTTCTAGGAGCTGATTTGTATTCTAGGATTGTCTAGTTGGCTTGGGCTGCCATAAAATACCACAGTGTGTGTGGAATCAACAACGGAAATTTATTTCTAACAGTTTCAGAGGCGGGAAAGCCTAAGATCAAGGGCCAAGCCAGTTTGATTTCTAGTGAGCGTTCTCTTCTCAGCTTGTAGACAGCTGGTATGTGCTCACATGGTCTTTTCTTGGTGCACATGTGAAGGGGGAGAGAGAGAGTGGGCTCTCTGGTGTCTGCTCTTACAAGAACACTGATCCTGTCATGAGGGCTCCATCCTCATGACCTCATAACCCTAATTACCTCCAGAAGCCTCATCTCCTAATACCATCACATGGGAGGTTACAGCTTCAACATATGAATTTGGTGGGGGTGCAGCTCAGTCCACAGCAGGTAGTAATGTGCATTTTAAAACTTGTTTATACAGTACAAGAAGTTACTTACTGAAGAAGGACAAAAAATAGGAACATTTGAGAGATTTATTTCTGGTTCCATGGCTGGAGCAACTGCACAGACTTTTATATATCCAATGGAGGTGAGTACCATTGTCAAGTCTGACTGTGTGATGGTGTTCGTGTTGGTTGTCTATTGCTCTCTAACAAGTTATCCCAAAATTAACAGTTTAAAACAAGCATTTATCATCGCACAGTTTCTCTGGGTCAGGAATCTGGAAGCAGCTTAGCTGGGTGCCTCTGGCTCAGGGTTTTTCACAGCCCACAGTCAAGATGGTAGTCAGAGCTTGGAATCAGCTGGAGGCGGATTCCAAGCTCACTCATGTTGCTGCCAGGCCTCACTGGCTATTGGCTGGAAACATCAGTTCCTTATCACGTGAGCCTTTCTGTAGGCTGCCTGAGTATCCTCAAAACACAGTAGCTGGCTTCCCTAGAGTCAGTGGTCCAACAGAGAGAGAGAGAGAGAGTGCCTAAGATGAAAGCTGGTATCTTTTGCCTCTTCTGCTGTATTCCATTGATCACACAGACCAACCCTGGTAGAGTGTAGGAGGGGCTGGTATAATGGTGTTAATAACCGGAGACAAATATCACTGGGGGTCACTTTAGAGGCTGGCTGCCACTTTAGAGGCTGGCTGCCATTCCTGTCCAAAGAGTTTCTGTACCATAAATTTAATAATGGAATCTCAGGATTTGATTATATGGTGATTATCCTAATTAGACATCCTTTCATTAGTGCATAGGTTGGCAAAACACAGACCTACGGACTGTTTCATACAGCCCTTGACCTAAGAATGCCTTTTACATTTTTAAAAAGTGGGCAACACAGGAAAAAGTGAGAAAGATCTAAAATCGACACCCTAAGATCACAATTAAAAGAACTAGAGAAGCAAGAGCAAACAAATTCAAAAGATAGCGGAAGACAAGAAGTAGCTAAGGTCAGAGCAGAACTGAAGGAGATAGAGACACGAAAAACCCTTCCAAAAATCATTGAATCCAGGAGCTGTTTTTATGAAAAGTTTAACAAAATAGACAACTAGCCAGAATAATAAAGAAGAAAACAGAGGAGAATCAAATAGACACAATAAAAAATGATAAAGGGGATATCACCACCAATCCCACAGAAATACAAACTACCATCAGGGAATACTATAAACACCTCTATGCAAATAAACTAGAAAATCTAGAAGAAATGGATAAATTCCTGGACACATACACGCTCCCAAGACTAAATCAGGAAGAAGCTGAATCCCTGTATAGACCAATAACATGTTCTGAAATTGAGGCAGTAATTAATAGCCTACCAACCAAAAAAAACCCAGGACCAGACAGATTCATAGCCGAATTCTACCAGAGGTACAAAGAGGAGCTGATGCCATTCCTTCTGAAATTATTCAAACAATAGAAAAAGAGAGATTCCTCCCTAACTCATTTTATGAGGGCAGCATCATTCTGATACTAAAACCTGGCAGAGACACAACCAAAATAGAAAATTTCAGGCCAATATCCCTGATGAACATCAATGTGAAAATCCTCAATAAAATACTGGCAAACTGAATGCAGCAGGACATCCAAAAGTTTATCCACCATGATCAAGTTGGCTTCATCCCTGGGATGCAAGGCTGTTCAACATATGCAAATCAATATAACGGAATTCATCAATAAACAGAACCAGTGACAAAAACCGCATGATTATCTCAATAGATGCAGAAAAGGCCTTCGATAAAATTCAACACCACTTCATGTTAAAAACTCTCACTAAACTAGTTATTGATGGAATGTATAACAAAATAATAAGAGCTGTTTATGACAAACCCACAGCCAATATCATACTGAATGGGCAAAAGCTGGAAGCATTCCCTTTGAAAACCGGCACAAGACAAGGATGTCCTCTGTCAGCACTCCTATTCAACGTAGTATTGGAAGTTCTGGCCAAGGCAATCAGGCAGGAGAAAGAAATAAAGCGTATTCAGATAGGAAAAGAGGAAGTCAAATTGTCTCTGTTTGCAGTTGACATGATTGTATATTTAGAAAACCTCCTTGTCTCAGCCCCAAATCTCCTTAAGCTGATAAGCAACTTAAAGCAAAGTCTCAGGGTACAAAATCAATGTGCAAAAATCACTAGCATTCCTATTAACCAATAATACACAAACAGAGAGCCAAATCACGAGTGAACTCCCATCCACAATTGCTACAAAGAGAATAAAATACCTCGGAATACAACTTACAAGGGATGTGAAGGACCTGTTCAAGGAGAACTACAAACCACTCCTCAAGGAAATAAGAGAGGACACAAACAAATGGAAAAACATTTCATGCTCATGGATAGGAAGAATCAATATCATATCATAGGAAGAATCAGTGGCCATACTGCCCAAAGTAATTTATAGATTCAATGATATCCCCATCAAGCTAACATTGAATTTCTTCACAGAAATAGAAAAAACTACCTTAAATTTCATATGAAACTAAAAAAGAGCCTGTATAGCCAAGACAATCCTAAGCAAAATGAACGAAGCTGGAGGCATCACGCTACCTGACTTCAAACATACTACAAGGCTACAGTAACCAAAACAGCATGGTACTGGTACCAAACAGATATATAGACCAATGGAACAGAACAGAGGCCTCAGAAATAACACCACACGTCTACAACCATCTGATCTTTGACAAAAACAAGCAATGGGGAAAGGATTCCTTATTTAATGTATGGTGTTGGGAAAACTGGCTAGCCATATGCAGAAAACTGAAACTGGACCCCTTCCTTACACCTTATAAAGAAAAAATTAACTCAAGATAGATTAAAGTCTTAAACATAGACTTAAACTATAAAATCCCTAGAAAAAAACCGAGGCAATACCATTCAGGACACAGGCATGGACAAAGACTTCATGACTGAATCACAAAAGCAATGGCAACAAAAGCCAAAATTGACAAATGGGATCTAATTAAACTAAAGATCTTCTGCACAGCAAAAGAAACTATCATCAGAGTGAACCGGCAACCTACAGAATGGGAGAAAAATTTTGCAATCTATCCATCTGACAAAGGGCTAATATCCAGAATCTATAAGGAACTTAAGCAAATTTACAAGAAAAAAAAACCCACCAAAAAGTGGGTGACGGATATGAACAGACACTTCTCATAAGAAGACATTTATGCAGCCAACAAACGTGAGAAAAGGCTCATCATCCCTGGTTGTTAGAGAAATGCAAATCAAAACCACAATGGCATACCATCTCACGCCAGTTAGTTAAAAAGTCAGGAAACAACAGATGCTGGCAAATATGTGGAGAAATAGGAATGCTTTTACACTGTTGGTGGGAGTGTAAATTAGTTCAAGCATTGTGGAAGACAGTGTGGCAATTCCTCAAGGATCTAGAACCAGAAATACCGTTTGACCCAGCAATCCCATTACTGGTTATATACTCAAAGGATTATAGATTTTTCTACTATAAAGACACATGCACACGTATATTTATTGCAGCACTGTTCACAATAGCAAAGACTTGGAACCAACCCAAATGCCCATCAGTGATAGACTAGATAAACAAAATATGGCACATATACACCATGGAATACTATGCAGCCATAAACAAGGATGAGTTCATGTCCTTTGTAGGGACATGGATGAAGCTGGAAGCCATCATTCTCAGCAACCTAACACAGGAACAGAAAACCAAACACCACATGTTCTCACTCATAAGTTGGAGTTGAACAATGAGAATACATGGACACAGGGAGGGGAACATCACACACTGGGGCCTTTTTGGGGATGAGGGGCTAGGGGAGGAATAGCATTAGAAGAAATACCTAATGTAGGTGACAGGTTGATGGGTGCAGCAAACCACCATGGCACGTGTATACCTATGTAACAAACCTGCACGTTCTGCACATGTATCCCAGAACTTAAAGTACAATTTTTAAAAAGTAGGCAAAAACAAAAGAAAAGAAAAGTAATATACAACCGAGACCTAATATTTTAGGCTTGCAACGACAGATATTTTACTATTTAGTCTTTACAGGAAAAGTTTTCCAACTACTGCTTTATAGCAAAAATAATATTGTAGATGTGGAATTTATTGATATAGCAGAGGGGTTTTTAGTAACTGATGACTTAAGCAAGATAAATACAATTTTCACCGATATGTGGTATGCATGCTAATACAGCTTTTTTTAAGCATCTTAATATGATTGTTTATATTACTCCACACACCTCTCAAAAAAACTTAATACCTATTTTTCCTCTCATATCCTCCATATCAGTTAATAGTATCACCTTCCCAACTCCCCACTGCCCCATCCTGTGTTCCAAGCTAGAAGTATTGGGGTTATCCTTTATACTACCATTTCCCTCACCTTCCAGATGCAGGTGGTCACCAGTCAGTTTTGTTAAGACATCAATAGATTATCTTGCTTCCATTTCCTTGGTCACTTCCTTCATCAGATCCTCCTTGCAGTAAACGGGTCTCTCTGGCTTTGGTCTTAGCCCCCCAATAGAGGTAATACATGAAAGAGAATGTATCAACAAATTGTACAGTCTTTTGAGTGACAATATGTGCTAGGTATTTGTTCCATGTAAAATTACTTCATTTGAATCCCATGATGATAGAGTTAATATGAACAATCATATTTTGTTTTTTTTTATATCCAGGTTATGAAAACCAGGCTGGCTGTAGGCAAAACTGGGCAGTACTCTGGAATATATGATTGTGCCAAGAAGATTTTGAAACATGAAGGCTTGGGAGCTTTTTACAAAGGCTATGTTCCCAATTTATTAGGTATCATACCTTATGCAGGCATAGATCTTGCTGTGTATGAGGTGAGTTTGTAGAAATCTTTTGAATTGGAAAATGCAGTTAGATCTTGTTAGAATTGGACTTTATATGAAGAAGTAGATATATACCAGAAAACAGTGTGTGACCAGAAGTAAATTCAAGCATGTGTTATTTGAACTTTCAAGTAACTTGAGTGTGAATATGCATGGGGTCACTTTTGTATTAGATTTTCTTGGGAATTGCTTTTGTTAATGAAGAGTAGACTCAAAGTTAGGTATAGTTGTTCACCTTAAAAGGTGTTTCTAGAGATTTTTTCCTTTGTTTTGGATTTGCAAAAATCTGACATTAAGCCAAGTGACTAATGTGACTAACATGAGTAATACAGTTTCATTCCTTGTACGGAAGAATACAAATCTTGGATCAACCCTGCAATCTAAATCATTTAATAATTTATGAATCTCACAAACAATTATTGAGCACACACTATACAAACCACTAGGTTAGACACTGGATCTGGGGATTCAAAGGACTCAATGTGTGCCTTGAAGAAACTGAAGGTCTGGTGGGGGAGACAAACGACTAAAACTCAGCGTGGTTATCTGTGCTGCGACAGACATGAGCCAGGGTGCATGTTAGGATGAGACCTAAGCTACAGCGTAGAGGAAGAGTGGAATGTGTAATGAAAAGAAGAGTCGAATTTTTTTTTTAAAGAGCTTTATTGAGATTTAGTTCATATTCCTTACATTTCACTCATTTGAAGTGTACAAGCAAATGGTTTTTGGCTTCTTACATAATTTTTAAAAATTATTATAAAATATAAAATTTGCCATTTTACTAATTTTAAGTGTACAATTCAGTGGCATTAATTACATTCACAATATTGTGCAACCATCAACACTATTTCCAAATCCTTTTCCTCACTCCAAACAGAAACACCTTAACCTTTAAGCAATAACTTCCTACCCTCCGTAACTCAAACCTTTGGTAACCTCTAATCTGCTTTCTATGTCTAGGAATTTACCCATTCAAGATATCTTATAAGTAGAATCATACAGTATTTTTCTTTTTGTGTCTGATTTATTACTCTTAGCATAATGTCTCTAAGGTTTGTTCATGTTGTAGCATGTATCAGAACTTCATTTCTTTTCATGGCTGAGTAATATTCCGTTATGTGTATATACCACATTTTGTTTAGTCCTTCATCTGTTGAAGAGCATTTGGATTATTTCTACTTTTCCAACATTGTGAATAATGCTGCAGTGAACATTGGCATCTGCGTATCTGTTCGAGTCTATGCCTTCAATTCCTTTGGGTATATATCTCAGAATGGAATTGCTGAGCCATATGGTCATTCTGTGTTTAGCTTTTAGGAACTATGAGACTGTTTTCCATAGTGGCTGCACTTACATTCTCACCAGCAACATACAAAGGTTCCAGTTTTTCCACGTCCTTATTAACACTTAATTTCCATTTTAAAAAAGCTTATTTTTATTATGGCCGTCCTCTTAGGTGTGAGGTGGTATGGTTCAGGACTTTACTTCTTGTGCTGAGTTTTTTAAAAAATTGTGATTAAAAACACATAACATAAAGTTTATGATTTTAACCATTTTTAAATATATAGTACAGTAAGTGTTAACTGTTTGTGGTTTGTTGTGCAACAGATCTCTAGAACTTTTTCACTTCTCAAAACTTAAACTCTATAGTCATTAAACAACAGCTCCCAATTTCCCCTTCACCCCAGCGCTGTGTAACCTACTTTCTCGTTTTATGAGTTTGACTACATTAAATACCTTGTATAAGTGAAATCATGTGGTATTTCTCTTTCCGTGACTGGCTTATTTCATGTAACATAGTTTCCTCATGATTCATCCATATGATAGCATACAACAGGACTTTTTTGTTTTTAAGGCTGAATAATAATTTGTTGGGTATATATATCACATTTTCTTTATTCATCTGTTGATGGACATTTGGATTGTTTCTACATCTTGACTATTGTGAATAGTGCTGCAGTGAACATGGTTGTGCAAATATCTCTTCAAGATACTGTTTTCAGTTCTTTTTGACATATACTCAGAAGTGGAATTTCTGGGTCAAATGGTAATTCTATTTTTAAGTTTTTGAGGAACCTCCATGTCATTTTCCATAGTAACTAGACCTTTTTGTTTTTTAACATTTCTATCAATGTACACCAAGATTCCAATTTCTCCATGTCCTCCCCAACACCATTAAGTGGGGTGGTGGTCTACTACTATTGCTGTGTTGCTGTTTATTCCTCCCTTCAGTTCTGTAAGTGTTTGCTTCATATATTTAGGAGCTTAATATTAGGTCCATATGAAGTTATAATTTCTTCCTGGTAAAGTGACCCATTTATCATTATGTAATGTCCATCTTTGTCTCTTGTGACAGTTTGTGTCTTAAAGTCTATTTTGTCTGATGTAATTATGGCCACCCCTTTTCTCTTTGGGTTCCCGTTTTTATGGAATATCTTTTTCCATCCTTTCACTTTCAGCTTATGTGTGTCCTTAGATCTAAAGTGAGTCTCATAGATAAGGTATAGTTGATTCTGTATGTGTTATTCACTCAGCAATTTATATCTTTTAGTTAGGGGATTTAATCCATTTACATTTAAAGCAGTTACTGATAGGGAAGGACTTACTGTTGTCATTTGGCTAGCTACCTTTTTATCTTTGTCCTGTGGCTTTTCTGTTTTTCCCTTCCTCTCTTCCTGGCTTCTTCTGTGTTTTGTTGATTTTTTTTTTTTTTGTAGTGATATGTTCTGATTCCCTTCTCATTTCCCTTTGTGTGCATTCTATAGATGCTATTTTTGTGGTTACCATTGCAACTACATAAAGCATACTAAAGTTATAGCAACTTATTTTAAGCTGTTTACAACTTAACTTCAGTGGTATATAAAACTCTATTTCTTTACATATTTCACCTCCTCCCCACAAACTTTATGTCTTTTGATATTGTATATCCTTAACATAGATTTATAGTTACTTTTTATGCTTTTCTTCTTTAAATTCTGTTTAAATTTTGTTTTTGAAATTTAGATTTTCAAGTTATTTATATACCTTCATTACAATACTATAGGATTTTATAATATTCTAAATATTGACCTTTACCATAGAGTTTCATATTTTGTGGTTTTGTGTTGCTATTTATCATCCTTTTGTTTCTCCTTTTAGCCTTTCTTGTAGGGCCGGTCTAGTGGTGATAAGCTGTATCAGCTTTTGTTTGTCAGGGACAGTCTTAATTTCTCCTTTTTTGAAGGGCAGTTTTGCCCATACAGTATTTTTGTTTGGCAGTTTTTTTAAGTTTCAAAACATAGAATATAACATTCCATTTCCTTCTAACCTGCAAGATTTCCATTGAGAAATGCACTCAATGGATTTTTTAATCCATTGAGATAATTTTTTAATCCTGTAGGATTTAAAATTTTTAGTCTTACAGGATTAAAAAATTAAAAAGTTAAACTTGTTATATAACATATTAACATGTATTTTATACTTAAAGTATCTTATGTTTAAAAAGTTGATTATCATATATATTTTATACAGTTTCTCCTAATTATTGCCTTCTAATGAAATACAGGGACCTAGAGTAACAGGGATAAAGTATGGCCTTTTGATCAGCACGCCTGGTTCTGAGTCCTTCTTAAAAAAACTCTGGGCCTGGTGTGGTGGCTCATGCCTATAAT
Source organism: Homo sapiens (assembly GCF_000001405.40). Lineage (NCBI taxonomy): Eukaryota > Metazoa > Chordata > Mammalia > Primates > Hominidae > Homo > Homo sapiens. The sequence goes on along the minus strand of NW_017852928.1, from coordinate 152,027 downwards.
CTCAGCACTTTGGGAGGCCGAGGCGGGCGGATCACCTGAGGTCAGGAGTTTGAGATCAGCCTTGCCAGCATGGTGAAACCCTGTCTCTACTAACAGTACAAAGATTAGCTGGGCGTGGTGGTGGGTGCCTGTAATCCAAGCTACTCAGGAGGCTGAGGCAGAAGAATCGTTTGAACCTGGGAGGCAGAGATTGGGCCACTGCACTACAGCCTGGGTGACAAGAGCGAGACTCCATCTCAAAAAAACAAACAAAAACTCCGCTGAGATGAATTTTTCTCATTTCTAAAATCAGAATAATAGATTTATGTAAGAGTTTCTGTAAGGCTCAAATGAAATATATGTAACGTGTAAAATGAGATACAATTAGTAGAATTATATTATTTTATTAATACTCACCATAAGAGGTGTTCTTTAGATCCTGCAGCGTTTGCTGCGCAGTTCACGTTTGTTTAGAAGAATGTCAGTAACCGGTGCAAACCTCATGTGTTCCGCACCCCCAGTGGCCTCCCACCTCTCCACAGAGTCACCGCCTCCTGCAGTGCCTGCTGCTTCTGCAAATGCGTGGCCTCATCCTGCAGAAACGGGGCTTCTCATGAGGTTGAGAATAGCTGTGAAAATGTTTACGTTGAAGTTGTAGAGTTCGTTAATTATTTTCTTCTTTATTTCTCTGGCAGCTCTTGAAGTCCTATTGGCTGGATAATTTTGCAAAAGATTCTGTAAACCCTGGAGTCATGGTGTTGCTGGGATGCGGTGCCTTATCCAGCACCTGTGGTCAGCTGGCCAGCTACCCATTGGCTTTGGTGAGAACTCGCATGCAGGCTCAAGGTGAATTTTTGATTACAGAACCACACCGATAAAAGTGCTGCACCAGTAATGTGCTTTTAGAACTCCAAGTTCTACTAAGATGCAGACTGTAGTTTTAAGACAGTATTTCTCAACCTTTTTTTCATTATTGCCTCCTTAAGGAATCTTTTCAGAAATTCTTTTTCTAAATGCTCCCTCGTCATGAAATTTTAATGCGACAGAAGCATTGCATATGTACTGTATGCATACATATGCCTTATAGATAAACAGAGTACTATTTTTTTTGACTGTGTTACATGCACGTTTTAAGATTATAAGCTTTAGTATCTGATGGATTTGGGTTCAGATCCTTGCCTCAGACTTCTTGGGGTTTTTAATGGGAATGAAAATTGTACAGTGTTGTAAGAATTACCAACAATATAAATAAAGCATCTTGGGTTTGTTAAATTTTTGGTAAATGGTGGTTGGAATCATTTTTTAGTGTTGCGTAGACCCTACAAGTTTTGAGCTGTGATTCCTCCTCACTGTGACACTGTCTCCATTGTTGGCTTTGATTACACTGTACCATCCTGGTTGTTCTGCCAGCCCATTGATAACTTTTACCATTTGCTGGCTTTTATTGCTATCCCCACTCTATTAAAGTATGCATTCAAATGCCTTTCTTTTCTCTTTGATGCTTTCCCTGGTCAGTCTTATCCATTGTTTTCTTAAGTAGTACACCTTGGGCATCTACAGCTCTATTCCCAACCTCCCTTCCAAGTGCCAGCCACAGCAACCCCAGCCAAGCAGTCAGTAACTAATTGGCAAATACTCCCTGAGCCATTGTCCCATTCTAGACACTGCCAGATGCTAGGGGTAGAGCAGTCAACAAGTCAGGTGTGGCCTCGCCAGTGTAGAGTAGAGAAGACGTTATGTCCAGCAAGTAAACAACCTGGTTAAACCAACTCCTCTTTTGTTAGGGGAGCACAGAGCAAGGAGCTATAACCTAACTTGGGCGCTGCAGAATGCTGTCAGTGAAGCTGAGACTGGAAAGATGAGTGGGAGTTAGCTGGGCACAGGCCAGTGGAGTGGGAACAGAAAACATTCCAGTTGAGGGAAAGCATGTGTGAAGACACTGAGGCAGGCACCAACATGGTGTATTTAAGGAGCTGAGAGACAGTCATGGCTGTAGAGAAAAACACAAAGTAGTGAACTACACGTTTCTTGTGTATTCTCTCATTTCACCATCATAACCATCTTGGGGATGGGAATACTAACATTATCCCCATTTTTCAGATGAGCAACTGGGGCAGAGAGAATTTAAGTAACTCCCACAAGATTATACCTGTGGTAAATAGTGGGACTGAAATTCAGACACATGCAGTCTGATTCTAACCCTCCTGTCTGCCAGCTCTGATCCAGAACTTTGCATGACTGATACGGCTGATAGATTGTCTATGGCTGATAGACTGTCATTTCTGACCTAAAAGTCTGATCATTTTACATCTGTTCAGACATCTTTGCAGCCTTTCGGTGTCAGTTCCAAAGTTGTTAGTGGGAATTTCAAAGCCTTTAATAATCTAGCCCCACTTTGTTCACTCTCTGTGTAATAACCACATACAACAATTGGCTGCATCTCCATAGCACATGGTACTCCTCCCGTTGTCTTGGTTGTGCCAGCAACACTGGTTTTCGCTTTCTCTTCCTGCTTGTTGAGGTCATTTCCAAGGCCCAGGTCTTTGTGCTTTTTCCCAAGCTTCCCAGAGCTTCTTCCATACTCCCCTTACTTCCTGAGATTTAACTGTTCTCTCTTCAGCGCTTGTCTAGTAAGAAGGAGGCAGCAGCAGCACTGTGGGGTGGTGGAAAGTGTACCAGCTTTGGAGTCAGACCATTGGATCTCAGCCCTACCATTTTCTACTTAGATTTTTTTAGGACAAATTTCTCCATCTTTCTAAGCCTCCAATTGCTCACTTACAAAATTGATATAACATTTACCTTGCAAGATTGGTATGGAAGGTAATTAACCCAGTATTTAGAACATAGTAATTAATAAATAACTATTATTACCATCATTACTATAGTTAGGACACTCACTGTTAGGTGCTATACAAAGAGGATCATAAAAGGGATGTTGTCTTGGGCTTCTTGGAATAAATGTTGTCCTTTTACTGTATTTTAGAATATCATTCTGGGTCATAATTGTTTGTTGTCATAATAATGAAACATACTTGAATATTAAATTACCCTCTTTTTTTATTTTTTAGCCATGTTAGAAGGTTCCCCACAGCTGAATATGGTTGGCCTCTTTCGACGAATTATTTCCAAAGAAGGAATACCAGGACTTTACAGAGGCATCACCCCAAACTTCATGAAGGTGCTCCCTGCTGTAGGCATCAGTTATGTGGTTTATGAAAATATGAAGCAAACTTTAGGAGTAACCCAGAAATGATGTTGCATTTTTTGCTTTAGCCTGATAATTGAAACTTTCAACAATCTCTGGAGTGACTTTTTCTCCTCGAATTGAAACAAGTCTATGGCAAAAGAAGCTGCATTTTTTTCACAAAAGGGAAGATGGTAACAATGGTCACTTCAAACTTTTGGGCTAAATTATATGTACACAGAAATGTTCAAAATCATAGTTTTAATGTGTTTTGAAAAGGCCACACAATTATACTTTATCTTTTCTTAATAATCCTGCAAATCTCTGCCCTGAATCCGAAATCTGAAAATGTACTGGCTTGAACAAAATTTGTTTTGTGTGTTAGAGTTATAAATCATTAATCTTTATTTCGGGTGGTTTACGTTTATGCCAGTTCCTTTATATTTAAATTTCTTGTTTTATATATTTTGAATGTCTTTATAGATTTCTTTAAATTTCCTTATAGAACCATTAATAGAAAATCATTACATTTAAAATATACCTTACAGCAAAAGCATCCAAATAAGTATAGGGTTTATGTCCTTATTTTTCTTTCAGCTGAATACGAATGAACACAGTGGTGGAATTTCTGAAGGGAAGTGATGAAATTATATTTATTTCAGTGGGCACTTTTCCATTTTACCACTGTACCATTATTTGGTTCCTGGAGTTATACACTAATTTTCAGTATATTACTGTTAAATTACCAACACAAGGCAATTTATTTGAAAGATTCCGTTTATCCTGCCATTGCTTTGAAAAGCAGCAGGAAACGAAATCCTTTGACTTGTATCAGCTTCTGCAGAGCATCTTTGTTTTCCTTTGTCCTTTGTTTCCTACCTTTTGAATCAGATTCCGTTTTAGTCAGGAAGACTTCTTGGGACCATTCTTAGTAACCTGAAATTTCTTTTTTAATTGCATGAAGTGGATTGATCATGAGCAAATGATGTGCTTATTTCTCCCTCACTGTTGAATATCTTTGAACTTGCTGTTTTCAATATGGGCAGCACAAAGGTGAGAGATACATATTAATAGTAGTATGTATTACTCTTATACATTAGATACCTATATTTAAATGAAAGGCCCAATTTGTAAACATATACATTCATATTCTCTCTTGCCCCAAGTTTTAGGAACATGTTAGGATATAGGAGACTTAATTTATAATAATGAGAGCATTTTTTTATTTTACTAAAGCCATTTTTATAGTCAACTATCTTTTCTTATTTGTGTGATTAGAACTTAGAAAAATATTTACTAGTTGAAGTTATTATCAGTTTTTAATTTAGTTCTTAAACTCATTTCACTTCTAATAATTTCTGTTATAAATTTCCAGCATTTTAATGAAAATCTAATGATGTAATAGGCATTTTCTTTATTTGAACCTACCTCTTTTATTTTCTGAACCAAAGAGAAAGATGGACTGGTGTTTGTGAAACATTTTTAAAAATGTAGTTTCATTTATATTAGTTATGTTTGATAAATGTCTCAGTATTTTTATAATATGATAAGCCTGGGATTCTACTTTTAGGGTTATTTGTACTTTTGAGTAATATATAAAGTGACAATATTAAGGTACATGATCAGCTCTTTCTATTTTTACTCGTAAAAATTATGGAAATGAATAATTTTGCTAACAACTTTGAAATTTCAAACTTCTGGAAAATATGAAAATATTCATTGTTCATTATGAATTTAAATTGTAAGGTATGAATGTGATTTGTCTGTACATCTTGTATCTTTTCCAAAAAATGATTCTGTATCTTTTGGAAAAAAGCCGAGAGTTGAAGATAGTATATTTCTGGTAGTACTGAATATTTACTTACAGTTTCTATCAAAAATATATATTTGTTTCTAAAATTACTTGTTTTCCAGTTTTTATTTTTTTTAGAGAAAATTCTTAAGTCTCAGTTTCCTAATTGAAAAAAAAAAATTATAAATAAAGCAAAAATTGTATCCTACAGCTTAGCTAGCTTAGATGTTTGGCACCAGTTTGAATCATGCTTTTTACAGCTGGCTCCATGTAGTCTTTCCAAACATTTTGGCCTTTCCTGAGCAGCCCTTGTAGATATTGTCTGTATGATGCATTTTGACACAAGGTGATATTTTTTGTGATATCAAAATTCCACATTTACCCATTAGAGTTACAGCCCTGGGGTTCACAGTACCAAGGGGGACCCAGAGCCTCAGGATTGGCCAGGCTCATTTTGCCGTGGAGTATCAGTTTGTCTTGAAATTGTGGGAAAAAATTCTAAGTTGAATTCACTGGTAAGTAATTTTTTAAAATTTCATAATGCAGATTACATCCAAAATTTGATTTAAAAATTAAAACATAAGACTGCAGAGAAATTCTGCATTTCAACTCCAATACTATCCAGACTTCAGAAATAACTTATCAGTTATTTCTGTAAGCTTCTTGCTTACCTGGATACCTGACAGGTGAGATGGCTGTAGCAGACACTGGCAGTTCCCTGCCCACACACCTGTCCCTGTCCACAGCTGCACAAGGCAGCTCTGTGTGCAATTGCCAGCATCTGCTCCTCTGTTCTCAGGGAATCTTTGTTAGAAAAATGCTGCCATATTTGTTTCTCACCTATTAGTCTTGTCTCCCAGTCAAGAGAATAAATTTATGCAAGCAGAGATTGTACTTTACAGTATTTTGTCTTTGAGCTTGGCATTAGGTTGCATTTGTAAAAATGTGGCATGGCTTCCTCATCCCCCAATAGGAACTTTGCCAGCCCTTTTGTTCTCATGGAACTTCCTTTTTTGAAAAGAGCACCAAAGGAGTAAAAATACTGTGGAGGGAGCAACCCTCCTTTGCCATATGCTCTCATTGGGAGACATGTGGAGCAGTCTGAAGTCATTTAGGCCACTCTCTGGGAGAGCACATCCTATGATGTTCTCCCAGCCTAGCCCCTTCCACTGTGCTCAAGTCCAAGCTGACCAGCTTTCTGACCACAGTGTAAACAAAGATGATTGTCAGTGGGCCCCAGAATCCTATACCCAGACACTAAGCCACAGCCACTAACCCCAGGCCACTTCAGCATTTATTCCACCAGCATTCACTCACTCATTTGTTCTTGCAGTGTGCATTTAGTAGGCACCTGTTATGGCTTGGCTTTATCCCCATCCAAATCCCATCTTGAATTGTAACTCCCACAATTCCCACATGTCATGGAAGGAACTGGTGGGAGGTGAATGAATTATGGGGGTGGGTCTTTCCTGCACTCTTCTCATGATAGTGAATGAGTCTCATGAGATCTGATGGTTTTAAAAACAGGAGTTTCCCTGCACAAACTCTCTCTCTCTTTGCCTGCTGCCATCCATGTAAGATGTGACTTGCTCCTCCTTGCCTTCTGCCATGATTATGAGGCTTCTTTTGTAAATTGTGCAGTCTTGGATATGTCTTTATCAGCAATGTGAAAATGGACTAATACAGTAAATTGGTACCCGTAAAGTGGGGCGTTGCTGAAAAGATACCTGAAAATGTGGAAGTGACTTTGGAACTGGGTAACAGGCAGAGATTGGAACAGATTGGAGGGCTCAGAAGAAGGCAAGAAAACGTGAGAAAGTTCTGAACTTCCTAGAGAGTTGTTGAATGGCTTAGCCCAAAATGCTGATAGCAATGTGGACAATAAAATCCAGGCTGAGGTGATTTAGGATGGAGATGAGGACCTTGTTAGGAATGGAGCAAAGTTGACTCTTGTTATGTTTTAGCAAAGAGACTGGGGGCGTTTTGCCCCTGCCCTAGAGATTTGTGGATCTTTGAACTTGAGAGAGATAATTTAGGGTATCTGGCAAAAGAAATTTCTAAGCAGCAAAGCCTTCAAGAGGTGACTTGGGTACTGTTAAAGGCATTCAGTTTTATAAGGGAAGCACAGCATAAAAGTTTGGAAAATTTGCAGCCTGACTATGCAACAGAAAGGAAAAATCCATTTTCTGGGGAGAAATTCAACCTGGCTGTAGAAATTTGCTTAAGTAGCAAGGAGCTGTTAATGTTAATCCCCAAGACCGTGGAGAAAATGTCTCCAGGCCATGTCAGAGACTTTATGGCAGCCCCTCCCATCACAGGCCCAGAGGCCCAGGAGGAAAAAGTGGTTTTGTGGGCCAGGCCCAGGGTCCCCATGCTGTGTGCAGCCTAGGGACTTGGTGCCCTGTGTCCCAGCCGTGGCTGAAAAGAGTCAATGTACAGCTCAGGCTGTGGCTTCAGAGGGTGGAATCCCAAGCCTTGGCAGCTTCCATGTGGTGTTGAGCCTGTGGGTGTAAAGAGGTCAAGCACTGAGGTTTGGGAACCTTCACCTAGATTTCAGAAGATGTATGGAAACGCCTGGATGCCCAGGCAACAGTTTGCTGCAGGGGCTGGGCCCTCATGGAGAACCTCTGCTAGGGCAGTGCAGAAGGGAAACGTGGGGTTGGAGCCCCTATACAGTGTCCCTACTAGGACACTGCGCAGTGGAGCTGTGAGAAGAGGGCCACCATCCTCCAGACCCCAGAATGGTAGATCCACAGACGGCTTGTACTGTGTGCCTGGAAAAGCTGCAGACACTCAACACGAGCCCATGAAAGCAGCCGGAAGAAAAGCTGTACCCTGCAAAGCCACAGGGGCAGAGCTGCCCAAGATCAAGGGAACCCACCTCTTGCATCAGCATGACCTGGATGTGAGACCTGGAGTCAAAGGAAATCATTTTGGAACTGTAAAATTTGACTGCCCTGCTGGATTTCGGACTTGCATGGGCCCTGTAACCCCTTTGTTTTGGCCAATTTCTCCCACTGGGAATGGCTGTATTTACCCAATAACTGTATCCCCACTGTATCTAGGAAGTAACTGCTTGCTTTTGATTTTACAGGCTCATAGGTGGAAGGGACTTCCTTTGTCTCAGATGAGACTTTGGACTGTGGACTTTTGGGGTTAATGATGAAATGAGTTAAGACTTTGGGGAACTGGTGGAGGCATGATTGGTTTTGAAATGTGAGGACATGAGATTTGGAGGGCCAGGGGTGGAATGATATGGTTTGGCTGTGTCCCCACCAAAATCTCAACTGGAATTATATCTCCCAGAATTCCCACATGTTGTGGGAGGTACCCAGGGGGAGATAATTGAATCATGGAGGCAGGTCTTTCCCATGCTTTTCTTGTGATAGTGAATAAGTCTCACAAGATCTGATGGGTTTATCAGGGGTTTCCACTTTTGATTCTTCCTCATTTTATCTTGCCGCTGCCATGTAAGAAGTGCCTTTTGCCTCCCTCCATGATTTTGAGGCCTCCCCTGCCATGTGGAACTGTAAGTCCATTGAAACCTCTTTTTCTTCCCAGTCTCAGGTATGTCTTTATCAGCAGTGTGAAAATGGACTAATACAGCAGCCAATGTGGGCTGAGGTCACAACATTGAACAAAAGACTCAGTACTTCTTGTCTAGTGGGGAGAGACAGATGATAAACTATTAAGTAAAACATGTAGTGTGTCAGATGGTGCTAAGTGCAGAAGGGAGAGCTGGGGCTGTGGCCAGGGCTGCAGTTGTACAGAGATTGATAGAGAAGGCCTTATTGAGGAGGTGCTGTTTGAAGGTGGTGCAGGAATGCTCTATACTGAGTCTGGAAAGAGCATCCAGGCAGCAGAGGGAAGCAGATGCAGTGGCCACAGGAGGGAGGAACCTGCAGGAGGCCCGTGTGGCTGCAGGAGAGGAAGCCCAGGGAGGCAGCAATCCAGGAAGCAGAGGGGACTCTGAGGGAGCCACATCATCATTCATTTCTCCATTTCTTGCTTTCTAGTTCTGCAATAGCAGCAGTTTCTTGGGGGTATTCCCTAAATAAGATTCAAATGTCTCTCCTCGGGGGGTGGGGGACACTTGGGGTAGTATCACTGGAAATGATGGAAAATACCTCAGTTTCTGGGAACTGTTATGTCCATCACAGACAGAATAGCTTACTGCTACCTGGACACGTGGGCCCATTCTCCAGGTAGCATGTCTATTGGCTTCTCTGTGCCTCTCCTCCTCCAGGGAGAATTGTAATTTTTAAAAAGAGAATTAACTTAGAAACCTTAAAATCTTTCTAGATATTTTCTGAGAATTACAGAGGATTTTAATCTTAGCAAACTAACAAGGCTCCCACTGTCCTCACTTCCTTCTCTGATCACTTTGTATCTGCCCAGGGTTGGTTGGTTTGTTTATTTGTTTTTAATTTACACAAGTTTGACAATGTTGGAAACAATCCTTTTATTTGATTTTTTGTTTTGTGTTCATTGATAATGTCCTGTTTTAAATTCACTTCCACAAAGTCAAGATAACCATAACAAACAAGTGATTTGTATTTTGTTACTCCAGAAAGAGAGGCTGGTTTGTCCAGGGATTTTAAAGCTTTCTAAAGTACGCTTCGAACCTAAGCTTATTATAGACTCCCAGTTTTCCCTAGTCAGCATGAGTTTACACTCATCTGATTACACCGATTCTACCACACAATCTCAGCCACGGGCTCAGGATGAAGTGGCCTGAATCCCAGCACCTGTAATCAGTGCCTTCTGTAGCTATGTGTCACCCAGCCAGTATTTGCTGTACTGCAGGGGGTCCCCACATCAATCTTACTGCAGCAAATGGGATGGTAAAAATGTGGTTTTTTCTTTTTTAATTTAAATCAACTTAAGTCCAGCTCCTTAACCACTCAGTGTTGTGCCAATGATCTAGGATGTTGGCCCCTTTGGACACTGGCCATGGTCTACACCACTCACAGCTGAGGCGCCCTTTGTTCTAGCCTGCATGGTCCCTTGGTTCCAGCAGTTGTGCCATGCTTGGGATGGGAGGAGTTGGGAAGACATGGAGTGTCTGTGTCTGGGGTCCGGCCTTTCCACTCTGAAAGGGTGATGAGTAGAATGTGGATCTCCCTTAGCCTTGGGACCCACTAACCTTTGTCTTCTTCCAAACCTCCGACCCACCTCTTTTTCTCTTTGCTCTTAAAATTATCCCTCTCCTCTTCCCTCTGAGGCCCCTGTCATCCTCTCTGCAGGTAGCTTCAGTGTTTGCAAAAGACAGAAAAGACTTTGATCAAAAGTGACTTCTGATTTCTACTTTAAAAAATCACCAAGGGAAGAAAATGCTAAAGGCCTGACTCCTGCTCTGAAATGAGAAAAAAGGGAAAATATAGGGACATAAATACAAGTTAGTATTTTACTCAGTTATCTTGCTATAGCCTCTCAAATTGCCTCCTGTCTCCTGGTACTCTGTCTCAGGAGTAAGCCTTGTGCCTTACAGCAGTAGGCTCTGCACATAAAAGGAGATGGCTGTTTTGTTTGTTTTAACATAAACAGATTGTTATACCTATTGAATCTCCAAGTTCCCACAACTATATTGATATGTGGCAATGCAGTTTCACAACCAGACAGTTCAATAAACGGTGTCCAGGTTGAAGGGTCAACTATGTACTTAAAATTCAACCCTTTTCAATGGCCTGGGGAGAAGATGGGAAGGATGGGAGAGGGTACAATTACTTGGAATGCTGAAAAGAATGATAAGGTGAGACTCCCTCTCTGCAAGGAGTCTAGAGCTGTTTCTAAATCTGTTTTGGTTTTGGATGTGTTGGTGAATATGAGTGCAAGCTCTCAGAAGACATGGCTGATAAAGTTGCAAGTGTAGAATTAGAGGTGAAATTGATGAGTTGGGTGCTTGAGTTTCTAAGTAGAAGAATCTGGTGGAATTCTACCAGAAGATGAGGAACATGGTTTAAAGCTCATCCTTTAGTGATCTTTGTTTTTGTCCTGATTTTATTCCCTTCCTGCTTTACTCTTTGTAAAGATGTTCCCCCTTAAGATATAGGGAAATGTTCTATAAGGTAATAAAGCTATATTAAGGCAAACAAAAAGTAAATGAATGGAGACTTTTGCTGGAGTTTGAAAAGTTAGCTATTTTATATGTATGTTTTCTTTGTCTAGTAAAAATGTACGGCTATTGTTTTATGGAATTCCAATCAGAGACTGTGGGAGACTTTCTTTACTTTGCTAAGCCTTAATAATTCACTTACTCTTTTTATAAGGCAGTGAGAAACATTCATTGGTCAAATGGTTTGTTCAACAATGTTCTTTCTATTTTATTCACATAGCATTAACTAATAATCTTTCTATTTTATTCATGGTACCATTGACATCATCAACACTTTATTGAGTGTAACGATTTATTATAATTAATCACAATAAACTGCACATGTTTAAATTATATAATTTCATAAGCTTTGACATATGTACATACCCATGAACAAAAGATGGTGAACATACCAGTTTCTGAGTACATCAAGAAACCACTGATTGCTTTCTTTCTTTTTTTTTTTTGAGACGGAATCTCGCCCTGTTGCCCAGGCTGGAGTGCAGTGGTGCGATCTCGGCTCACTGCAACCTCAGCCTCCTGGGTTCAAGTGATTCTTCTGTCTCAGCCTCCTGAGTAGCTGGGACTACAGGAGCGTGCCACCATGCCTGGCTAATTTTTGTATTTTTGGTAGAGACAGGGTTTCACCATATTGGCCAGGCTGCTCTCGAACTCCTGACCTCGTGATCTGTCCACCTCGGCCTCCCAAAGTGCTGGGATTACAGGCGTGAGCCACCGCACCCAGCCTGATTTCTTTCTTTCTATCACTGTAGATTCATTTGTATTTCATAGAATTTTATGTAAATGTCTAGCTTTTCACTCTGCAAAGTCAATCAGAGTTATCTGTGTTGTTGCATGTCTCAATAATTTATTCTTTGTTTTGCAGAGTAGTATTCCCTTGTAGGAACATTCCACAGTATGAGACAAGGCCCTGCAGAGAAACTCTACATAGAAAGGGTCTCCATGGGGCTGGGCACTGTGGCTCACACCTGTAATCCCAGCACTTTGGGAGGCTGAGGTGGGCGGATCACAAGGTCAGGAGATGGAGACCATCCTGGCCAACATGGTGAAACCCCATCTCTAATAAAAACACAAAAATTAGCTGGGTGTGGTGGCACATGCCTGGAATCCCAGCTACTTGGGAGGCTGAGGCACGAGAGTCGCTTGAACCCAGGAGGTGGAGGTTGCAGTGAGCTGAGATTGCGCCACTGCATGCCAGCCTGGGCGACAGAGTGAGACTCCACTTAAAAAAAATTAAAAAAAAAATAATAATAATAATAAAAAAAGAAAGAGTCTCCATGGAACACTTGATCCCTAATTGGCAGAAGAGGTCAAGGAAAAACACTAATGTGAAACAAGGGCAAAAGGTGCAAGAAAATTAAAAGGCAGTTAATAACTTCAGGAAAAATTAAAAAGCTCTAATATAAAAGAAATGTGGCTGGGTGTGGCGGCTCATGCCTATATAATCCCAGCACTTTGAGAAGCTGAAGTGGGCAGATCGCTTGAGGCTAGGAGTTTGAGACCAGCCTTGGTAACGTAGCAAAACCCCATCTGTACGAAAAATATAAAAATTAGCTGGGCATGGTGGCCTGTGCTTGTAGTCCCAGCTATTGAGGGGAGAGCAGCTAAGGTGGGAGGATTGCTTGAGCCTGGGAGGTCAGGCTGCAGTGAGCTGTGATTGTGCCACTGCACTCCAGCCTGGGCAACAGAGCGAGACCCTGTCTCAAAAAAAAAAAAAAAAGAAATGTAATTATAGTGAACACTAGCTCGGCAGTGAAAAATACTGCAAAGTCACATCATCAATGTGCTTTCAAAATCAAACTGTAGGCCTAAATATAGCTATAGAAGAATGTAAACAAGGAAGCAAATGTAATCAGAAGCTGAGCAGTAGGAGAGAGGAGGTGGGGTGAAAAGGGAAGGATGAGGAAGGTGGGGGTGTGCAAGGCTCTTGCTTACCTGGGTACCCGACAGGTGAGATGGCTGTAGCAGACACTGGCAGTTCCCTGCCCACACACCTGGCCCTGACCACGGCTGCACAAGGCAGCTCTGTGTGCAATTGCCAGCATCTGCTTTGGTGTTGCTCTTGGTGCTGGAGCTTACTTGCTGCCCATGTGACAGGAGCAGCTCTAAACCAGTGGTCGTGAGCTCTGTTTCGCACTGGCTCCCATTTCTACACTGGGTCTGGTGCAGGTGCCTATGGTGGCAGCTGGTGTGATGATTTGCCCTTTACTGATGGCCTTCTCCTCATCTTACTTTCCCATCCTGTCCTTGAATCATCCATTTCAGGATCTGCCTCTGAAAGAACCCAAACTAAGGCAGTCAATCCACCACAGACAGACAAGGAAATAGAAGCAGAGCGTTTTATTTAGAGATTATGGAGGAAAATACGAAAAGAAGCAACTAACAGAACTGCAGGTCATTACCTCTAGGGACCAAGACTAGAGGTGGGAAGGGGCGGAAGAGGAGACCATGCTTTTAAATATATGCATGGCATGTGCTACTTTAACATAATTAAAAACAATCACTTAAAGCAAATTGGAACAGTGTAACAAATGAAATCAAATGAAATCAAAAGGAGAGAGCACAAATATATCTGAGTAACCTGGTCTGTCCCCCAGCCCCCTTAATGTTGTTACCTGAATATGTCAATTGTTGTCAAAAGACAAGCATAAACTGAAATCGATTATTGTATGGATCTGAACAGATGGAAAATATTCTCTGTACAGCAATTTTAAAAGTATAATGGTAATCACTGTGTTAGGGATTAAGTATACTTCCCACCCTGTGTTTTTGCCATTGTATAGGAAAAATCATGCAGAATACATTGATAATCACTGTAGAAATGAGATGAGATTTATTAACTAAAACACTTAGCACTTCACCTGGCACTACTTTATGAAGAAGCACTTTGTATAGGGCACTATGTGTAGTTTATATATATAAAGAAACATTTGTGTATTGGGTTTGAATGTTACTTGTTGTTGTTGAATATTCTTCTGCTAGTCCACCCTGTCCCTGATGGAAGCTATGCCCCCGGATCAGAAACGCTTGATGCTCAAGCGGTCCTGGGAAACCACTATTGCAAGTAACTGTCAGTGCCCTCTACTTTCCACTAGATGGCAGACTTCCCCCAGCTCTGTGGACGGCAGATACCCAGGAGAGGAGGGCAGAGCTTCAGATCTTTGCTTTCTCCCTTTCCCTTGACCTGGAAAATCACTGGGCTGCCTCTGAGGCCAGATTTAGATTTCCTGCACAAGCCATCATTACCTTGTTTAGAGGAGTGAAATTAGGGTCGACCTGTCCTGTCATTCCAGGACAGAAGGTGACAAAGAAGGTCCTTTATGTGTAGCACTGAGGAGAAGGGCTTGTTCTTAATTTTTAAGATATTTTCCAAAAATAGAAAAATTCTGTTTTACAAGTCAAATAAGAAATGATTGAAAAACAAGTATCACTGTTCATATACAGAGTCGTAGGTAAATGTTCAGATACAAAAATTGTGACCATAGAGCATATTTTTGGATATTTGTTTTCATAGTGTGATGAATATTTTTGTTTGCTTAAAATTATTTCAGAAGTATAATCATAATTCAAGCTTGAAATACAAGAGTGGTAAAATGAGAGCAAAAATAAACAAGTAATAAAACGCACCACAAAATTTCTGACTCCATTCCCTTTTAGGGATTTCTTTTTTTACAAGAGTTATTTTTATTGATTTGTGTGACACACTGGCTGACACGTTTTAAAATAAATAAACTTTGGGTTTCAGATGAACACAGTTTGCATGCTGTCTCTCTGGAACAATACACATCAGAGGAAGAAGTTAATAGGAAAATCAGGCAACCCAAACTGTGTTTTTTAGGTTAATCAGGAATTTCCTTCAATTCTAGTAAACAGGTGGAAATAGAAATTTTGAGCTGAGAAAAGTAGGAATCAGGACGTGGAAGGGAAAAGCTGGGTTCTGCTGCGGTGATGTGGGTGACCCTTCATGATGAGCCAGCTGTCTATTCTCCCAGCTCTCTCCCGGCGGTAGGAACTGAGAAGAGGCGCCCCTCGCTGCAGGCCCTTTGATGCCTCTCCTCTCCCCTGTCCTTTCACCCCCGACTCTGTGAGTTGCTTTTAGATATCGTTCTTTACTTACCAATTGTCTCTTTCTCCCCTGCTTGTTAACGTATCATGAAAAAACTGTGACGTGATGACCCCCCATGAATGCCTCTGGAGGAAAAGTGCTAGAAAATTTAAAAAGAAAATTAAGGTGATAAAACTGGCCTCATTAATCTGTTAAACTCCTACAACATTGCCAAAAACAGAGGTGAGCTTCTCAGCTCAGTTTCCCCAAAATTCACAGAAAAAATTACTGTGCTTGAAAAGAAAACACAGCGGGCCAGGCGCAGTGGCTCATGCCTATGACTCTAGCACTTTAGAAGGCCACGGTCAGAGAACTGCTTGAACCTAGGAGTTTGAGACCAGCCTGGGAACATAGTAAGACCTCATCTCTACAAAAAAAGGAGCAAAAATTAACCAGGTGTGGTGGTGCATGCCTGTAGTCCCAAGCTACAGGCTGGGAGGCAGAGGCAGGAGGATCACTTGAGCCCAGGAGGTAGAGGTTACAGTGAGCTGAGAGGGCATCACTGCACTGCAGCCTGGGCAACAGAGTGAGACCCCATCCCCTCCCCACAAAAAGAAAAGAAAAACACAGAGGATGTAAAATGGAGCTGAGATAGTGATATTCTGCCCAATATTTTAGGCAGTGCTGGGATTTTCTCACTAAATGATCAATATTGAAAACTAAAATATTTTATTAAAATGAGAAAAAATTATCAAAGTGAAGATTAAAATTATAAGGCTCATTCAAAGAGACGAGGGTGTACTTATATAATCTCCCAGTTTTAACTGCAAGATGTTTCATGACTTATGATGGGGTCATGTCACATCCTGATAAACCCATAGTAAGTCGAAAATAGCATAAGCCAAAAACGCATTTAATACCCCAATAAACCAATCATGAAGCTGAAAATCGTAAATCAAACCGTCACTAAGTTGGGGACTGTCTGTATTGTTTACTTTAATATTTTGGAAAGTTTTTTAGTGTGTGATACCAAAATCTACTTGACATTTAAGCACTGATTAACGCTAATGATTTTCACTGGGTCTTTTTTAAGCCCTAGCACAGCTGTTTGAAAACTTGGCTGAACATTAGAACCACCTGGGCGGGAGCTGGGGTTAGCTTTTAAAACTCTCAGGTCATATCCCAGACCAATTAAAGCAGAATCTCTGGGGTGGGACACAGGCACCAGTATTTTTAAAAGTCCCCCAGGTGATTCCAACTGCTGCCAAGGTTGAGAACCACTGCAGTCTGGCTTCATTCTGACCACTGTCTACACATGATGTTAGTAATGGTTGGGATTAAAGGACTATAAATACAAGGACAGTGTTTCCCAGTGCCCTCCCAAGTGGAGGAGGCCAGGAGGGAGAGATGACGGGATTTGCTGACCAATTAGATAGAGGTTTAAGAGAAGCTGTTAGGCAGAGGCGGACAGATCACTTGAGGTCAGGAGTCCGAGGCCAGCCTGGCCAATATGGTGACACCCCATCTCTACTAAAAATACAAAAATCAGCCAGGTGTAGTGGTGGGTGTCTGTAATCCCAGCTACTCTGGAGGCTGAGGCAGGAGAATCACTTGAACCTGGGAGGCAGGTGTTGCAGTGAGCCGAGATAGTGCCGCTGCACTCCAGCCTGGGCAACAGAGCAAGACGATGTCTTAAAAAAAAAAAAAAAGAAGAAAAAAAAAGCTGTTGAGTCAAGGATGACTGTAATTGTTTGACCCAAGAAAGACAGAATGACGAAGTTGCTTTTGAGATGGGAAGGTAGCATGAATAACAAGGTGGGCAGAGTGGGAAATGGATAATTGGGTTTGGACACATGAACGTTAAGATGCTCATGAAATATCCAGGTTGAAAGTTCAAGTAGGAAGTTCTGGAATCCAGGGAGGGGTCCAGGCTAGTAGACACACACATTTGACAGTTATCGGCATTTAGATGATGTTGAAAGCCATGCGGTCAGATGATTCTCTAAGGAGTGAGGATAGATAAGGAGGGGATGAAGGCTGGCCCCTCTAGGAAACGGCCAGAGATGAGGAGGGAGCCGTGGAGGTGCTGAGAAGCAGAAGCCAGCAAAGTGGGAGGAAAACATGGGGAATGGGATGGGCCGGGGCCACATCAGGTAAGACGAGGACCCAGAACTGAACCTGCCTCACACTCCTCCTCGGAGGTCACCAGGGGAAGGAGAGGAGGAAAAGAAGCCGGTGGCAGGAAGGAGAGTCTTGCTCCACCACACTGGATTTTCTCCAGCAGCACTGATATTATCCAACGTGTGAGCACAAAGCCGGGTGCCTGATTGGCCCAGAGTGGAACCGGGTAAGTGCTGAGAGCAGAGGGGAGGGAGACTGAGAGTGCTTTGGAGGGACTCTGGTTAGAGCCATTGACTCCGAGTTAGGGGAAAGGAGGAGGTGGAGGCATAGAGAAGTGTAGTTAGTGGTCGATGGACAGGGCGGTCCCAAGGAATTCGAACAAAGGGCTGGGAATGATTGGCAAATAAATTGGAAGGGAAGCCTTGGGCCAGACAGATTTTGAATCATAAAGCTGACAGGAAACAGTTTGGGGTGATGACAATTTCTAGTGACCCAGATACCTTAAAGTCTTTAAGGGGTGAGGGGTGAGCAGCACGGGGGAATGTAACAACAAGGGGTGGGTAAGCGGTCAGACACGGGACCGTCGACGGTGCAGGGGTTTCACACGACGGTCTGTGGTGGTGGGTGGAAGAACTGTGAGGGAGAGGAGGGGGACAGTGAGGGGCACACACAGGCTGCCTGCCACTCTGAGGAGGGCGAGGGGCGTCCTCCTCGGAGGCCTTGGTTCAGTGAGAAGGGAGGCTGGGAGGAGGCACCTGGGCGAGGGCTGGGCGGACCTTTATGATGCAGAGATTTGAGGGCTGAGGAAGGAGGGTCCAGTGAAGACTGGTGCCACGCCTGTAGTCCCAGCTGCTCTCGGAAGGCTGAGGCAGGAGGGCCGCTTGAGCCCAGGAGTTAGAATCCACTCTGAGTAACACAATGAGACCCCGTCTCTAAAACCCAGAAAAAGGCCAGGTACGAGACCGTGCCGGTGCCCCACCAGTCCCCTCCCCTTCCTGAGGCTCCTGCTCCAGGCAGTTCTCCTAGGAGCAGGCCCGGCCTCTGGCTGCACTGGACGAGCGCAAGGCAGATCTGGAGGCCCCCTGCCGGCGGGATGCCAAGATCAGCTGGTCACTAAGTCCCAATGGAGTCATCATCCGTGTTACTAAGAAAGTGAGGGGCCCGCGGCACAAACCACAAGCGGGAGCGAGGAGAATCTGGAAAGCCGAGTGGGAGAGGTAGCTGGAAGGGAGTATCCTGGAGGTCGGGCATGTACCGGCATTTTTGTGCGGTGATTTTTTCAATTCAGTCCCAAAGAAGTCCGGGGTGGGTGGGCGAGGCGCATCTAAAAGGGCAGGAATGGGATGAGCGGAAGGCACGGTTTCCTAAGAGGGCTATGCAGTAATTACTACAACAGTGACAACGTTGGAAAGAAAAGAAGGAAACCAAACATTATAAAATATAGAGGCTGTGCCTTTTAAATCAAGAATAGCCAATTAGCCTATTGTGTTATGTAATATCTCATTCATTAGTGATTGAATTACCTCTGGCTGCATGTACTGTTTCCCTGAAGTTAATTTTTATTCCATTATGAAGGAATAAATCAAATCCATTGAAAGGAAATCTGACCTCTTTGCTGTCTACAGGAGGAAGGCCTTGAACCAAGTCTTTTTTGTGGTTTAATATTTTCGGTTTCAACTTAATAAAGAGGAGCCTGAGGGATAAGAAAAGAGGTCGGGTTTTGTCTTTTCCACTTGAAGTGCATAAACAGAATAGAAAGAAGTAATGACATGTAGTCAATTGTAAAGAACATGAAATCAACCCAGAAAATATGAAATGCTGATGGGGATGCACAAGCACCAAGTGTTCGTGGTACCACTGAGAATAATTAATTCAGAAAGTTCTTGCGGATGCCTGCTAACCATCTAGCAGAGCCTTTGCTAGGCGGGAGGCTTGTACAAAGGTAAACGATATGCTGTTTTTCCTTAGAGCTCACAGTCTGCTGGAAAGGCTGACGTGAGAAAATAGTACAGAGCGCTAAGTGCTATAGCAAAAGCGTGTTCAATGATTTATGAGAACAATGGGCAGGGCAGTCGACAAGGTGTGAGAGGTGAGATGAAATTTTTGCTGTCTTTGGGGGACATGGAGAATATTTCCACACAAAGAAGGTAAGTGAGACATGTTCTGGAGAAAGGAGACGGCGTATGTAAAGGCATACAGGCAGGCAGGATAGGTACATCTGGGGAAATTGCAAAGATGTTCTGTGAGGCTGGAGTGCTCCCTGGGGAGAGTGGTGAGAGCTTTGGTTAGAAAGATAGGTTAGTACCAGTTATATGCCACGCTGAGGCACTGGGTTTGATAAGAGAACCACTGGAGGATTTAATCAAAGGGGAATGCATGCTTAGCTGCATCTTTCCGAAAGGTGGATGGGTTGGAGAGGAGTGGATGGGAGGCAGGTGCGGACTGAAGGCAGAGGTTAAGTAAGCCCTTGCCTCTCTCATGTCTGTATCCCCATGCATTGTGTACATTATTTGGCACACGGTTGGTACTTGATAAATATTTGTTGGATGAATAACTGAAAGAAGGAAAATGAAATTTCTGATTTGGGGTGGTAGATGCAAGGTTTTGGGGGGAGCCGTATCTGGGAGAGTTGTGCCTCTCTTCTGCCCCTGCCAGATTTGTCAACCCATGACCCTCATGGCTTCACTGGCTCATAAAAGTGAAGTGTCAATTAGGGAGACTGAGAAGGAAAGAAACACCAAAGAGCTGATATCACAGTAGTTAGGGAATGAGTGTTTCCAAAAGAAAGGAGTGATCAACACCGTCCCATGTAGTACAGATGTCCAAAAAGAGCAAGGTCCTTGAGTTGTGCCAGGTCTGAGGCTTCAGTGAGAACAGTTTGGTGGAGTGGCAGCTACAGACTCCAGATGGCAGTGAGCTGAGGAGTGAAGGGGAGGGAAGGAAGAGGCGTTCAGGAGGGTAGACATTCTTTCTAAAAGCTGGGCTTGAAGGGAAGAAGGGGAGGAGGCAACCTGAGAGGGACGCATGATCAAAGGGATGCTTTTTTTCAAGGGTGGTAGGCTTATGAATTTGAGAAAAAAACAGCGAGGGAAGAGGTTAAAGTCACTAGGGAGAGATGGAATAAGAGAGATGGACTCAAATATAGATAATTACAATTCAGATACCATTTTTAGTTTGAAGTTTGAAATCTGATTTTTGAAAGAATGAGTAAGTGACAGCTAGGGAAGCAGTAAGGGGTGGAGGGGAGAATGCTGGATTGAGGGTAGGAAACCCGGGTTCTGGTCCCTGCACCTTTCCTGACCAACTGGGAGTGTCCTCAAGCTATCAATCTGCTCTGCGCGTTCGCTGTTTCACCTCCCAAACAAGCCAAGTTCTCTGGAATGATTTCCTTCAGCAAAAGAATTCTATGATTCAAAGTATTGTAAGCTTGGCAATATCTACATTTGAAGGTAAGACTCTTCCCAAAGTACAGTTTGCTTCCCTCATAAATTAGCTACTTCATTTTTGGAATTTTTGCTTTATTTATATTACCTTTAAGAAGAATTGACATAGTAGGTGAGAAAGAACTTTGGAGACTGAAGAAGTAAAACAGTATGAAAGTCACATTGCTGGTTATTAATAATCATGCTAATATTCTTGACCTACAGACCTCACATGTTTTTCCTATTTTGTATATATTACCCCAGAGTAAGAAATCTTAGCAAAAGGAGAACCAAAATTAAATTAGCTCCTTATCTAAAGCTTTTAGATGCCCTGCTACAAACCTCTCAAGGATAATAAATGAATCACTTCCCTGTGGATGGTGAATTTATGGTTTGCACAATTATTTCCTCATGATTTAATTGAAAATATGAAAGATTAAGCACACAGATACCAGGGATTCTAATACAGGATTACATACTTCCATCCTTTGTGTCTGCAGCACTTGTGGCCTGGAAGATTTAAATAGAAATGCTTGCGAAAGATGATAAGTCAGATGTGGGGCTGGGCCATTCTAGGGCATATTGAAGCACGTGATCACTGGCTGGTGGATGCCATTTTCCAGGGTTCTGTGGAGAGCAGAAGGCTAGCAGTTGCCTTTCCCTACCTCTAGCTTCTTCCTAATCTTGCCCATCAGATCACCCTGCAGGATCTGGCAACGCCACCAACCGTTCACACCCTCAGGCCTGGCAGCACAGGAATTGGCTGGCTTGTTATAATATCAGCCTTATGAACCCACCCATTGCACAGCTCTCTCCTGAACTCTGTATTTCAGAGGCACAACCAGTTGCGCCAGCTGGAAGCCTGACAACCATCTTCAGTCCTCTTTTTCTTTCTTCCCCCATGTCCCATGCATCATCAATGACTGTGGATTTTGCCTCCTCCACAGCCTGTCTTCTGTAACCCCTTGCTCTTGCTGTGTTCATGAGCTGACTCCTCCTCTTTCAGCCTACTCCCTTCATATCCACACACTGCTGCCAGGGTGAAGTTCTGCACCCTGGCATTCAAAGTTCCTCCTGTTTTTGGCCTCAGATGCTTCTGGAGTCTGGTCTGTCATCCCTTTTACTTTCACATCTATTAATAGATCCCCACAAATGTGGTGGCTCCATTTTTGCCTAAACTGTCCTTGGTACATGGCTTTTCCTGCTGCCAGAACTTCATGGTTAATGTCAGCTTCCCTTTGAAGCCTTCCTAGTCCAGTTTCTCCAACCAGCTGAAGAAGGAATTGCTAGTTTCTTTGTTCTACTCCTCTTGTTGCACAGATTAGAGGTTCTACATCATATTTAGAGGTTTAGTTTAATCTATCATCACAATTAGACTCTGAGCTTTTTAAAGGCAGGGGACTAGGTCCTACACATCTTTGTATCTTAACGTCTAGTATATAATAGGCACTCAATACATACATAGTAAATGGAGCTGAGTTTTGTCTTATTCTTTCCCTCATCAGCTATCTAACTTTTTCATTTCTATTTTGAAAAATATGTTAATTAGAATAGAGAGATTTTTACACATATTTTAATAATACTAATACTAATATTACTACTAATAATAATTACTTTTGTGTATTATGTGCTTCCAAAATGCCAGGCACCATTCTAAGAATTTCACATACATTATGTCTTTTATGCCTCACAACAGCCAGGTGAATGAGGCATGATTGCCCTTATGTTATCTACCTGAAGAAACTTAACCTCAGAGATGATGCAATTGGTCTAAAGTCCCACAGCAAATAGACACTGGAACAGGCCTGCAGACCTGGGCCCACCAGGAGCGTGCAGCCTTAGTTGTCTTGCACGGGACTCTTATTAATTGTACTTACCATTTCTTGAATGTACTTTAGCAACAAAATGTTCATCAATTGTTTTAAAGAAGTTTTAAAAATTGCACAAAACCACAATGAGATACCATCTCACACCAGTCAGAATGGTGATTATTAAAAAGTCAGGAAACAACAGATGCTGGTGAGGCTGTGGAGAAACAGGAACACTTTTACACTCTTGGTAGGAATGTAAATTAGTTCAACTCTTGTGGAAGATAGCGTGGCGATTCCTCAAAGATCTAGAACCAGAAATACCATTTGACCCAGCAATCCCATTACTGGGTATATACACAAAGGATTATAAATAATTCTACTCTAAAGACAAATGGACACGTATGTTTATTGCAGCACTATTTACAGTAGCAAAGACTTGGAACCAACCCAAATGCCCGTCAATGATAGACTAGATAAAGAAAATGTGGCACATATACACCATCGAATACTATGCAGCCATAAAAAAGAATAGGTTCATGTCCTTTGCATGGACATGGATGAAGCTGGAAACCATCATTCTCAGCAAACTAACACAGGAATAGAAAACCAAACACCACATGTTCTCACTCATAAGTGGGAGTTGAACAATGAGAACACATGGACACAGAGAGGGGAACATCACACACCAGGGCCTGTCAGGGGATGGGGGACAAGGGGAGGGAGAGCATTAGGACAAATACCTAATGCATGTGGGGCTTAAAACCTAGATGATGGGTTGATAGGTGCAGCAAACCACCATGGCACATGTATACCTATGTAACAAATCTGCGTGTTCTGCACATGTATCCCACAACTTAAAGTAAAATAAAAAAAATTGCACACTGTGTGAATACTTTCTTTTATTTAAAAGAAAAACATCACAGAGAGTTCTTTGACCACTGTAAGGGATAGAAAAAAGACAGTGTTTTTCCTACTCTCACAACACATCCTACTCAACACAGCGCATCCTGCTTCACTTCTCACTCCGGATGTGCGTGAAGTTTCCCCACACACCAAGCAGTTCTCCACTGGACTCCAAGGGGGTGTTCTGTCATTCAATTTAATTCTGACACTGTCTACCTGTAGTCAGAGTCAGATCCCACAGGTGAAGGGCTCAGTCCTATGAGACTACATGCCATTTGAAAATGCCAACTGCAATTCCTAGCCTCTAGAACATCTGACTGACTGGCTATAAATTGGGGGTTTCCACAACCCCCTCTTCAGGTTTGTTCACTTGCTAGTGTGGCTCATGGAACTCAGGAAAACACTTATGTTTACTAGATGTTATATTAATAAACATATGATAAAGCATACAGATGAGCAGCCAGTTGGAAGAGAAGCACGGGGCATGGTATGTGGGAAGGGTATGGCGCTTCCATGCCCTTTTAGGGAGTGCCACCTTCCAGGCACCTCTGTGAGGTCAGCAACCTGGAAGATCCCCAAACCCTGCCCTTTTGGGTCTTTGTGGAAGTTTTGTTACATAGGTTTGATTGATTAAATCACTGGCCATTGATGATGAACTCAACCTTTAGCTCCGCTGCCCTCCACAGAGGGGAATGTTCTAATTCTCTAACCACAAGGTATACTTGTCACTGAATTGTGTACTAATACAATTGTGTACTAATACTAACAGGGAAGGAACAAGCTATTTCAGCAAAGAGACCCCCAAATATAGCTGATTAAACAAAGTAGTTTATGTTCTCTCATGGAATAGTCCCAATGTGAGCAGTTGAAGAGGAACATTGGCTCCATTCACATGGCCATAGATCATGTTTTAGCCATGTCTGCAGGGTTGAAGCTAGGTGGAAGGTAGTTCCAAATTCTATCCTAAGTAAAGAGGAATGCATAGAGGAGCTCATGTTGGTGGTGTTCTAAGAAGCAGACCCCAAAAAGGTACACAGCGCTTTTCCTGATATGCTATTGGGGGGACATGGACATTTCATATCTTAATAGACGCTGTCAAACAGCTTTCCATACTGGGCAACTCTACTTGTTAACACCGTTGCCAGCAGAATATGAGAATCTTCTATGTTCTCCTTATCACTTGATAGTAATGGATTTTTTTTTTGCTATCAGTTGAAAAGATGAAAAATGATACTCATTTTTCTGTTGAGACTTTTTCTTATTGATTTGTAAGTCTCTCTTTCTATTAGAGTCTGATCTTTTATCTGGGATATATATGCCAAACAACTTCTCTCAGTCTTTAACTTGTTTATTAACTGTTATGATTGGGTTTCTTAACCTTGGCACTACTGACTTTGGGGCTGAATAATTCTTTGACTGGGTGGGGTTGGGTCTGCCCTGTGTGTTGTAGGATTTTTGGAAGCATACTTGGCCTCTATCCATTAGATGCCAGTCAGACCCTGCCTCCCCTTCTGAGTTTGGCAACCCGAATGTCTCCAGGTATTGTCAAATATCCTCTGAGGTACAAAATTGCCCCAGCTGAGAACAACTGACTTACACAAAGTGTAATTCTTAGAGCAATCAAATTGATAAGGTGTTTCCTTAAGATTTTGCTTTTTGTGTCTTGTTTAGGAAAGTCTTTCCTACCCACGAATAAGGTATCTTATTTTTTCTAGTATTTTAATTGTTCATTTTTCTTTAAAAAAAAAAATAGGTCTTTAATGCCCCAGAATTTATTTTTGTATAAAGTAGGAGGTGGGGATCTGTAGCAAACTCAGTTTATGCACCACCCCAGATATATCTGGGTCTGCCAACTGCCCTGGATCCTGGCCACCTGCCTTGTTTCCTGACCAGAGCAACCCTGGCAATGGTTCATTCATAGTCGTAAAGTTATGGCCCCCAATGCCACAGACCGAAGAGCCCCCTGTGCAGCATTGACTGACAAGCAGAGTTTGCCACACAGGCCACATGGGACCTGTGAAGCCTCTAACTTCCTCAGCAGCTCTCCAAGGGGTCAGGAAACATAACCAGGAAGTGCCAGGGAGTTAAAGCCTCAGCAGGTGGGCTTCTGCTAATGATAGCAAGGAGGGGAAGGGAAAAGCCAGCATTTAGATTGCTTCCTTTTCCCATGGTGTTCCAAGATGCAGTGGTTTCCTATGGCCTTCCCGAAGACATGCTGTGAGAGCAAGCAATGAGCTGTGTTGGTGGCAAAGCTGTGGCCAGCTCAGTAATTTGTTCTTCCTCCTTGCCGCAATGAAGTGTTAGCCCATAGGCTCTTCCTTGGGCCTGTTCTAAAGTCAAACTCTCACTTTAACATTTATCCCACATGGATAACTAGTTTTCCCCAAATTTTTTTATTGAATTGACCACGTTTTTTTCACCCTGGGGATGATTTTGGCTGCAAGTAAAAAAAAAAAAAAAAAGAAAAAAAGAAAAGAAAAGAAAAAGAAAATTGCAAATGAAAGTAACTGGGTAAAGAGTAGGGTGAGGTGAATGAGGGACCAGCCTTGGAAGAAAAATTTAGGAGGGACACCAACAAACTTAACAAGAAAGGTAAGTATTATTTTGATATAATATTCTTTTTAAATAAAAATCATTGCAAGAAACCCATGATGAACAAAATATTAAAATTTTAAATGAAGACAGAATTCAATCCTGCCCTTGCACAATCCTGCCTCACTTGCCTCACCCTAATCCTGGTCCTGCCAAGCAGCTTAGTCAATAAGGAATTACTGTATTCCATAAAAAGAAATCCACAGGAAGAAAAATACAGGCCCCAGGCATGTTGCTATCCTGAGCTTGATGATACCATGAAGAGACAGATGCTTTTCATCTTCTGTTCCATCATCCTCGGTATCAGCTTCAGCCCCAGGCTGGCTCCCAGTGGGATTGCAGCTCGCTGCATCGGTCCCAGGAATTACATCCAGAGGAGATCACATCCAGAGCCTAAAGGGGGACACATCTACTGGTGCTTTATTTCATGGCATTGTGGAAAGGCTTGTGTGATATGACACCTGGACGTTCAGTACTGTAATGAATTAAGATTTCTTAAACTCCTGCTCTGTTTTAAGTCACTCCACATATTTTCATTTTTAATCCTGGAAGTTCTGTAAAGTGTACACTACTCTATTTTAAATATAAAAAAACAGAGGCTTTAAATCATTATGGACTTTATTTAAGAACCAACTGCTGACCGGGTGCGGTGGCTCATGCCTGTAATCCCAGCACTTTGGGAGGCCAAGGCAGGCAGATCGCAAGATCAAGAGATGGAGACCATCCTGGCCAACATGGTGAAACCCCATCTCTGCTAAAAATACAAAAATTAGCTGGGCCTGGTGGTGCATGCCTGTAGTCCCAGCTACTCCAGAGGCTGAGGCAGGAGAATCACTTGAACCTTGGAGGCGGAGGTTGCAGTGAGCCAAGATCCCACCACCGCACTCTGGCCTGGCGACAGAGCAAGACTCCATCTCAAAAAAAAAAAAAAAAAAAAAAAAAAGAACCAACTGCTAACAAGTGACTGAGCAGCTATTCAAGTCCAGATTTTGCAGAATTTCAAATTTCATGCTCCTTCTACTATGCCACTGTGTAGATACTCGTTAAAAATTATTATCAGCCGCTTTTCCAACTCCCTTGGTGTGTGTGGTCCATGGAGGACCAGGCTGGGGCTAAAGGTGGTTTTTCCTGGTTGTGTCTGACTCCAGCTTGACTGGGATCCTTGGTCAGGTGCACCCCATAGGTCATTATTCAATCTCAGGAGAACAGAGGTATAGGGTTGGTCCTGGGCTCAGAAGGCAGCAGAATGGATTCAAGGAACTCATCTGATCCAATTGCCGTGTCAATCAGAGGAAGGAGAAAAAATAAACTGAAAAGGACAAAGAGGTGCCCTGTAGCTTTCTGGAGTTCCTGTTCTCAGGCAGGATTCTACCCTGGCCCAGGTGTTCCAGTGTGACAGATGTCCTTGCCCTCAAGTTGGGACACATGAGGAGACCAGGCTTGGGGAGTTCTAAGGCCATGGTTAGTTTAGGGCAGTGCAATGAGAGTTAAAAGATAAAGACTAAGGTGGACATACAGGAAGTTCTGTTTCTTTCTTTTGAAGAGAAGTTACCTAGAAACCACACAGATGGTCCTATCTCCTACCATTTCAAGGGAGAAACAAATACTATGCCTTAAAGGCTATGGCAAAGGCTCTCCTGCCCCCATTTACTCACGTGGTGAAATTCTACTAAGTTATGGTTTGGACAAAAAGAGGGGAACCTTTGTATGTGTTGATTCACTAAGATGTCTCCTTCCTAATATCTAGTTTGGCGTCCCTGAGGGAGACTGAGTTTTGGGAATGTGAGTAATCATGGGGAAAATGACCTAATTTTGTGATTTTTGAGACACTTCAGGGGAGGCAGGTCTGGGTGGGTTCTGGGACACCAGAGAACATGAGGTACAAGGGCACTGGGAATTCATGTGGGGAAATAGGGTGCCGGAAGGAAAGGGGAGAATGAGAGAGAGGAGCGGGAGAAAGAGGCTGAGTAATGACTGCTGTAAAAAGTGTGTAGGACCTGCCTGCTCCCCGACCCTCAGCAACCTTTTGACGAGTCCCATTTCCAGACAAGCTCAAGCTGTTATTTGACCTTCAGGATGTGCCTGGTTTCTCACTGGTTCCAGTGAGAGGCTCCATTGCTATTCACTCAGAACCTGGGGAAACTTCCCAAGCTGCCTGGGCAGAGGCCTAGCAACTTTTTAGTGCTCTGTGTATACGTGTGTGCCCAAGCACCCTCATGGATGCCTTTCCGACTTTGATGGTGCCATGGAGGCCATCATCCTCCCCATCCCCTGATGGAGCAGGCTGGAGGGCCAGGTCTGGAGGACTCTCTCTTGGTCCCATGTCACACTGAGTTGGCTGGCTCTTCGGAGGCTGAGCATCATAACCTTTGTTTGGGGCTCACTAGATTCCCGGTTGACTGACTGCTGTTCCAAATGAGCCTGGGCCTTTCCAGGATAAAGTGATGTGTCTTTACCCATTAGGCCAAAAGGAGAGGCTGGCCACAGCTGAGGGATATTGTAGTCTCTGAAAGGACATACTGTTAACTTTTGTTAGGGGAACCTCCATTTCACAGCCTCATGTTTCCCAGTGGGAAGACTTTACCTCAGTTAGCACTTCTGGCCTTGTTCTTAATCCATCCCTTAGCTCATTTCTCCCCAAGTGTGGAGGGTGGGAGGTGGCAACTTGATTTACTTGGGGAGGAGCTGAGCCTGTGTGACTCAGCCATCACCCTACTCTTTTTTTTTTTTTTTTTTTTTTGAGACAGAGTCTCACCCTCTTGCCCAGGCTGGAGTTCAGTGGCGCGATCTTGGCTCACTGCAACCTCCGACTCCCTGGTTCAAGTGATTCTCCTGCCTCAGCATCCTGAGTAGTTGGGATTACAGGCATGCACCACCATGCCAAGCTAATGTTTGCATTTTTAGTAGTGATGGGGTTTCACCATGTTGGCCAGGATGGTCTGGATCTCCTGACCTCATGATCTGCCCTCCTCGGCCTCCCAAAGTGCTGGGACTGCAGGTGTGTGCCACTGCACCTGGCTACTTTTTTTGTATTTTTAGTAGAGACAGGGTTTCACCATGTTAGCCAGGGTGGTGTCGAACTCCTGACCTCAGGCAATCCACCAGCCTCGGCCTCCCAAAGTGCTGGGATTACAGGTGTGAGCCACCACACCCAGCCCACTCTCCTCTTTTCACTCTCTGATATGGGTATATATCCCTGCCCAAATCTCATATTGAACTGTAATCCCCAGTGTTAGAGGTGGGGCCTGGTGGGAGGTGGTTGGGTCATTGGAGTGGATTTCTTATGAATGGTTCAGCACCATCCCCTTGGTGCTGTTCTCACGAAATATGGTTGTCTAAAAGAGTGTGACACCGTCCCCCTCCCTTGCTCCTGCTCCATCTTCACCTTCTGCCATAATTAGAGGCTTCCTGAGGTCTCTTCAGAAGCAGATGCCAGTCTATACAGAAAGTTATGCTTTCTGTATAGACTGCAAAACCGTGAGCAATTAAATCTCTTTTCTTCATAAATTACACAAGTTTCACGTATTTCTTTATAGCAATGAGAGAATGAACTAATACACTTTCTTTGAGAGCCACCTGTCCACAAGACAGACTTATTTTGATTTGCTTTTTGCTGTGTACAATACGGCCTGACCAGTCAGGGAGGCCTCCCTTTATTATTATTATAATAAAGCTATCTGATTCCTTTTTTTCTCAATGTTCTAAACTATTGGCCCCTGGTTATCAAAATCCCAACCTAAAATGGGATTCATTTCCAAGGAAAGAGAAATAGAATCTTTTCCTATAGGAACGTTTAAATTTGCTTAACAAATATTTATTGGTGAATACTAAGAATATTTATTGGCTCTAGGTGCTGGATATATTGTGGTGATCAAATCCAGCATTATGGAGGTAATAGTCCAGCATTTGTGTGTGTGTGTGTGTGGGTGTGGTGGTGGTGCTGGTGGTGGGGGAGGAGGGGAGTTGGTAGCGGGTGATTCCCCAATTAATTCATTACAAATGTTAAAGAATTTTACCATGGAGGAAAAGTGCTACAAGAGTCATTGTTGCTACTCAGCCAGATTAGCCTGCTCTCATATAGCCTTCCCACACCCCATTTCCCACAAGGCCTAGGGTACGCATGCAAAGTGAGTCTGAGCAATATCCTTCGTCACAAGGGAGATAGGCTAATAGTGATTCTCGGTTACAGAAATATCTTTAATGAGATATGTCAAATTGTCAAAATTAAGAGATGAGGGAACAACTGCCAAAGAAAAATTAAAAAAGAAATTGCATCAAGGAAATAATTGCTGAATAACCCCACACTGTCCTATTCTTTTAAGAATATGAACAGAAACACTGTTTTCGGTCTTTGAGAGTTTGGAGTGGGTGTTGGACTCCTCTCAGAAGTCTGGAACAGTTATTGAGCAACTCTACAACACAAGAGTGTGGAAAGAGGGACCAAAGAGCCAGGGAGAACCCCGTGTTCAAGAGTATTCTTACAATATCTCCAGTAATTAGAGATTTGTCTTGTTAACAACCTATTATTAGGGTTAAAGCTGTTAGCAATTTATTTGTTTAGGGTAAATTGCAGGTTTTGAAAGGTAATCTCTTTCCAAGTCCTGGAGAAGATAATCAGCATTGGGATAACAGGAATTTGAGTTGAGGAATTGAGGAGGTCCTATTACTATTCCATGGTATTTAGAGGAAGGACACGACTGCTTAAAGTTGTACCCCTATTAGTTGGCAGAGTTGGAATTGGAACCCAGGATGTTCTGATTGCAGAGTTGATGCTTTAGTTTTATGGAGCACGTCTGGAAAAATAGGGCTGGTGGTATGGTGCAGGGGGAGGAAGACCCAGAATCTGGTGAGAGTGGGATGGAATAATAAAGACACATTAATGTTATAAATTATTATTAGTATACAGATAGCTATAGTATATTGGGTACCTACTCTTTGCAACCTATAGGAGAAGAAAAATAATTTTCCCTCTACCTTTCTAAATTCTCAGCTGGGCCCCTGTAACAAAGGACAGATTGATAAGAGAAAAACAGCAGTTTATTAACATGTATATCACATATGTAACCCATAGGAGTACCCAGAGATGAGTAACTCAAAGGTTTGGTTAGAACTTGAGTTTTTACAAAATCTTAGCAAAAGGACAACTCATTTTTAGTGATAGACAAAGGAAAAGGATCTTGAGTCTCTAGGGGAAGCAAATTGTGGGATGGCAAATATATGGTAAACTAATAGCAGATGAAGGCTGGTTACTAAAATTTGTTGTATAGATTCCTCTGGTGCCATCCCTAGGCTGATAAAAGTTTAAATTTGCCCTCTCTGGGAGAGAGGGGAGGAGGGATACCTTTGTAAATTTATGTCCTGCTTTGTGGCAAATAGGAGGAGGGCAGAGAGCTTTTCTTGTGTCTGTTTCTTCTCAGCTGCCTTTAGCTCAAAATAATTCTTATGCCAAAGTGACATATTTTGGAGAGGCATATTTTGATCTCCTACAAGCCCATCTTATATATATCATATTATTAACCCTCTCAACAACTCTAGGAGGGCTGTATGATCCCCATTTTACAGATGGAAAAAGTAAGGCTGAGAGAAGTTGCATGAAATTCTCTTAGCCACACATCTCCAAAGTCCAGAAAGCAGCCTGATTGCCAGGCAAAGTAAGATCACCTGATTTCCTTCTTACCAGGGCCACAAATTGCTGGTGCTGTTTAGAGAGGGACATGTTCTTAGAACTAGAAGTTGCTTCAACATTGTAATTCTGTCAAAAAAAAAAAAAAAACTGCCTTGGGAAGCAGTTGAGACTCCAAAACTATAATTTTATTAGCTTATTTTCCTACTTTGAATTTGTTACATTAATATGTCGAATTAACCCAGAGCCACATGTAGAGTTTAATTTGTATGTCTTCCTTGGGGAATTCTGGGCCTATTGCAGAAATTCACTTCCACATGTAGCCCTGGACCCTGGAGGGTAAGATAGGGAGGAGTTGCAGGAGGCGCCTCAGATGGAGTCCTGTGGTCCCTGGGCTTCCTGGGAGTGGCCTAGCCTGGCTGTGCGTCAGTTCTGTGTCATCTTCTCCAGACTCTTGATTCCTCTCAGAACAGCATGGAAATCCCCAAGTCACTTAGTGCTACTCTCAAAGTCACCAGAAGACACCTCGTCCCAAAATCATTCAGGAGCATAAGCCCCTGGAAGGCTGGATGACACTGTAAGGCTGTTTTTAGAAATGTAATAACCTGTTTGCCACTTGTATGTCTTCTTTTGAGAAATGTCTATTCAAATCTTTTGCCCATTTTTTGATTGGATAATTGGATTTTTTCCTATAGAGTTATTTGAATCCCTTATATATTCTGATGGAACACATCATATACCACAAAAATATATATACCTACTATGTACCCACAAAAGTTATAAAAAATAATAATTTTTTTAAAAAATGTGGTAACCTCCTGAGCTATAATAATCTGTGCTATGGAAGCTTTTCAGGGAGACTGAGCCGGGGGCCCTGAGTCTCAGGATGGGCTCATGAGTTTTTTTTGCTGGGGGCTGCGGTGAAGGGGCTCCTAGCACTCTTGCTACTCATGCCAGAGCCTAATTTTCCTTTGTGCTCTGTTTACCACCTCCATTTCTTTTTCATGGACTCCCAAGAAAGTCCTGGTTCTCTTGCCATATTACTCAAGTCCTAGGAAGAGGATTGGGTTCACTATTTTCCCTTGGTGTATAAATATAAATTAAATGCCAAGAGTGATGCTGGGCCATACTCACAGATTTGGTAGCTTAATTAACTGTGTTTTCTGGAAATGGAATTAGGCATGCTAATAAGACCTTAAGTCAAACAAGCCAGGCTGACTGATGAAAAAGGGCTTTGCTGACAACTTCATTAAATATATATAAGGAAGTGAGTTAAGCATTTCAGCAGAAAGGAAATCCAGGAGACAGTGGGCAGGAAATAATAGGAGCACCAGCACGGCTTAGAGATAAATGAACAAGAAAAGCAGAGTTCTGAGGATGAGAATAATTGGCTTTGGCTTGGATGTATGCCATTATAGAGAATTAATGAGGCTTTGTTTATACACTCATTACAAAATATTTATGGAGCTATTTCTCCATCCAGGTGCTGTACTAGACAATGGAAAACGGGATGAAGAACAAGATCTACTGCATACCCTTTTGGTACTTCCAAGTGTAATGGACTAACATTATTGGTATTTTGTAGACAACCGTAGCTGTTTGGCAGTTTGGGCAAATTAAATTACTAATATTTTTATTTTAAAAAATCACTATTTTTGAAATATGCAGTCAAAGGTGTCTAAAACTCAAGCATACAGTTTAATAAAAAATCATAAAACAAATACCTGAATAGCTATGTCTCAGCTTAGAAACAGAATATTACTAAACTTTAGAAGGCTCCTGGGACCCCTGTCCCAGTTTAATTCATTTCCCAGCCCCCACCCAAACGTAACTCCCCTGAAATTTCTGTTAGCTATTCTCTTCCTATGGCTGTTTTCCTTTTGTATGTTTCTCTGGACAATATTTTGGAAATCTTAAAGTACGTAAGTGAATCTAAAGATCATTTTATTAACTTCATTATAATATTAACTCTTTCCGTCCAAGAATATGACAGATCTCTCCTTTGTTTAGGTCTTTCACAAGGTCTTGAAATAAAGGTTTATATTTTTTTCTGTAAAAGGTTTTTACATCTTTTGTTAGCTTTTCCTCCTAGATAAATGTATCTTTTCTTAAAAAAATATATCAAATATATCTTTTAAATTTTGGTTTCTGACTGCTGAGAGTATAGAGCAATATAATTGACATTTTTATATGAACTTGGTAAATAGCAATGCTAAAATTTGTTATTTACTCTAATTTTTTGTACTGGTTTTGGATTTGTATGCAAACAGTCATATAATGTGCAAATATTGACATGTGTCTCCCTTTCAAATCTTCATTTTACTTTATTTTATTTCATATTTTTCTTATCTTATTGTACAGGCTAGGATCTCTAGTACAATGTTAAATAGAAGTAGTGGTAAATGGGCATTCATGATTTGTGTCTAAAGGTGGCTGATAGTACAATGCTGAAAGCACTCCTTTTAAGAATGAAGTTTGCTATTAGTTGTTTTTAGATGTCCTTTAATAAGTTAGAGACTTTCTATTTTTAGTATGCTGAGTTTTATTCTTTTTAATCATGAATATTGAATTTTATTAAATGCTTTTCTTATGTCAAATGAGATAAAAAATTTAGATTAATTTATAGTAATTAGCGCTTAATTTTAAATAAAACTTTCATTCCCGAGAATGAAAAACAACTCGATCATGTTGTATTATCATTTTACATGCTTTGAGATTCAGGGTGCTAATATTTTCCTTAAGATATTTACAGTTGTGTTCCTGAGTAGAGCCTGACTTTGGCGATAAATCTCCTTCGTTGTGCTGTCTTCATTTGGTTTGGGTGTGCAATTGTAACAGTAGCCCATAATTTGAGTTGAATTTTTTTTAAATGTTCTCTGGAAGAGTTTATGTAAGATTAGAATAATTATTTACTTAAATGTTTGCTAGAATTTGCCTATAAAGCTCTCTGGGCCTAGTTTTCTTTGTGGGGAGGTTTTACAATGTTGATTAAATTTGTTTAATGGTTATAGAAATATTCAGATTTTCTATTTCTTTGGTTATTGCTGGCAAGGACTTTTCTCCCTGGGGGTTGATATGTTTCAAATGGCTTTCAAATTTACAAAAAAAATTGTTCACAATATCCTCTAGCATCTTTATGTTTCCTGTCTCAGGCCTGAAATCAACTGTTCTTCCAAGGAGCCCAATTTCCATTGGTGAGGAATAGTATTTACACACCAAAATCAAGGTGCAAGCAGTGTTTATTGGTACTAAAATGTTATTGCCTTTAAGCAATTTCAGGGACACAGCTAAGAAAAATGTGTTTTTTGAAAACACTGCAAAAATTCTGAGTTCAAACTGATGATTTTAATTCCAACTTAACACCCAGTATTTTTACTTCTTTGACTTTTTAAATTGTATATTTAAAATCTCACAGTGAAAATTCTGGTTCCTAATAATATTAATATAAGTCTTTATTTGATTTATCCTATAGAAGATATTAATTAGTTTCAAAATAATAATAGCAAATATTATATTAACCATAAGACTATTGGATGAGGTTAAAGATTTCTTTGCATCCTTATTTATCCTTAGAATATATTCTACTAAATAATTACAATCAAATCAGTGTATTCTAAAGTCACTTGAAATACTTTTCTCTATGTTATGTAACCAACTGACATACAAGTAAGTTCATTTCTGTTTCTATTCAATTTCTAAGGATTGCTCTTTAACTTAATTATGTATTTTACAATATATAAAACAACTATATGATTCAAAAATAAAACCATATAATACAGTATGTTGAGATAAATCTTGCTTCCAACACTGTCCCCTTCTCCTTCCAATAATTAACTACTTAAAAAAAGTTTTGGTTTATCCTTCTTTTTGCAAACATGAGCAAATATGTATAACTTGCATTTAAAAAACAGCCTCAAATCCTAGACAGATACAGTATCTTTTCCCCTGAGCCATTATTCCAGTGAAGCATTTCTTGGTTACCACACTGCTAATTCAACCTTTACTACCAGCCTTTAATCAATTTGAAGGTATTTATCCCTGAATTCTGCTGTCCATACCTTTGTCTGGATTTTTGCCCCCAAACTGAGTTTTAATTGGCCCTTATTGTGCCCAAACTTCTTCAATGTTATCTTTTACTGTTTAAGATTGAGAAGATTGCCTTCTGTACTGTATAAGTCCCAGATCTCTTTTCCTCCTTTCTGCAAGCCAGCCAAATCTGCTGTGAACTCACACCATCCCTATGGCTCCTTGTTGAATGTAGACAATCGTAACCAAAACATATAAATAACATTTTGTTTTCTGAACTCTTCCCCTAGGGTTATAAATTCACTAGACATATGATCTGCCTTCCAGGTTGCTATAATGACAGCTTTATCAAATGCTTCCCACAAAGCATAAAATGAATGGCCACTCTAGCCTCTAATTACAGTTTAACTGCTCCTGACCAATGGACCACTAAGGCAATGTCACATATTGAGGGTTTTTTTGTTATAGCAGAATCCCACTTCTGATACCAATTTTTGTTCCTGTGAAGGTAAGCCTAAGTTGTGCTGCAGAACCAAATGACTTCAAAATCTCCATGGCTTAACACAATACAAGTCCAATTTAGGTCTGCAGAGGCTCTGCTAATTGTTACTCCTTGACAAGTGCTTCCATGAGCGTAGTGGTAAGGAAAAGGATGGCTGTGCTGGTCATTTGGCTTTTTGCTCATGGATCTATTTTTTGTCTCTCCCTTGCCTTATTCTGTAATGTAGGAAGTTGACACCTTGTTTCACAGGTTTCCATGTCAGCTGGCTTTTGGTGGGTTTGCTAATGGGAGGTACTGGTTGGAAATTATTGACAATTTCTGAGATTTGTCATGACTGGGATGACTGTCATACTGTGGATGTTCTCTCATTCCCCCATGTAGTTTTTGCTCTATGACCTGATGCCTATGAAGACTTTTCTCAGTTTCACCAGTTGTTCTCAGGTGTGCTTCCTGGGCTGCCACTTGGGTGGGCTCTTCTTTTGGTAGCAAGCATTTGCCAGCATTTTTAGGCTGTTATATTTGGTTTTCAGGATGAGTTTTGGGAAGCTTCAATAACTTCAGATTGCTGTCATTATTTTTCTTTTAGCAACTTTTTTTTTTTTAAAGAGATAGGGTCTCGCAATGTTGCCCAGGCTGGAGTGCAGTGGCTATTCATAGGTGGAGTCATAGCTCACTGCAGCCTCAAGCTCCTGGCCTCAAGTAATCCTCCTGTTTCAACCTCCAAAGTAGTTGGAACTGCCCATGTCCACCTGGTTGCTGCCATCATTCTTTTCCAGAGAGTCCCCTGGGGCTACTTAAAATTTTCTGCTAGAATTTCTGGGTTGCATAGTTGATATGAATTTAGTCTGTGAACCCCCTGAGAGCCCTGTGTGGCTATGAGAGCTCAATAAAAATACTGTTTTTCCCTTTCATGCATCATTAAGGTGGAGGCAGATTGTCTCTTTCTGCATGCATGGAGGCATTTATATTTCATTACCTTTATTCTCAGAGTATAGACCATTGCAAATTCAGCTCTATAAAGGGGTCTCCCATTTGATTCTCTGCTTTGCATAGTACCTGTGATTTTACCTTTCCTGCCTGTGTACTGTGCAGTTTTTCTAAATGTGTCTCCAGGTCTCCAGGTTTCAGCACAAACTCTCGCTGCAGGGTTTGGTACTTGCTTACCACTCAGGGTTCCTGCTTTCATCTCATTTTTGGATTCTATAGATTCTTTTATACCTGCTCAGTGATGCATTTAAAGTATTTTTTAAACCACATTTTTTTTCTGAATTCTAGTTGATTCAGTTGAGAGAGTTGTTTAGGGTATCTAATTTGTCCATAATGTCAAAAGGAAGACTGTATCTAGTTTACTTTTTGTTCTTTCTGTAGCACAGGAGCAAAACTCACTGGGACAATAGTCCTCTTTTTAAAGTGCTGCAACACCACCAAAAAGACATGGGCAATAGAAAATGTGCTTAGCTGTGGATGACTGGGTTAGTTTTGATTACTAGCTAATAACAAGGTAATTTGATACACTTACCTATTTATCAGTTGTCCAAAATTTCTCAGGTCCTCCTGTCTGCTGAAAGGTAGAAGGTATATTTAATGAATTTAAATACAACTGGCTTGAAGCCAAATTAAAAAGAGAAATATACACTCCCTTCAGTAGAGCAGAAGGTTCTTGGGTGGAGGAGGCTGGCATTTAGAGTTCCAGATTTAGCAAATAAAAATATAATTGTATTTAGCATAAAAACTTATCAGGTAATATTTGGGATGTACTTTATTTTTATAAAAATATTATCTGAAATTAAAACTTAACTAAGGATCCTTTATCTGGCAATCCTATTTGCATTTCTCCTAGTCATCTCTTGCTCACATTTTCTGCTTCCACCAAGTTCTTCCTTGAGGTATTTCATCTTTCATGAATATTTTTCTTACTTTGCTCTTGGTCAACCTAAAGGGAACAGTTTCTTTTTCTTATTTCAATGAAATAAGATGATGATGGTTTGGAGGTTGATGTCAGGTTTGTGTGACACTGCAGCAGAGCCCAGAGAGTAATATGAAATAGAATATTAGCTGTCCCTGTTCATCAAGATGGACCACCATGCCCACAACTTTGAATTTCTCCATAGTGATCTCTTCTCTGGTATCAACCTCCTGCCACTGTACTTGCCTTGTCTCTCTATCTTATCTTCTCCCTGAGTTTCTACACTGTTCTCAGATTCCCTCTACCTCTTCCACAAAAACTTATTTATTATGTAGAACAATTTAGTTATCTCTACTTCATCCGTGGCCTATCCTGAACCCATCTTAAGGGGGATCTTTTTACAATCAAAAGCCAATATGTTACAAATGATCCTTCTGTTTTAAAAGGATTCTGCCACCTAGTTTTTAAAACGATCTTTCTTCTCCCTCCACTCCTCCCCATGTGGTCTTTAATGATTGTAGATGAGAGCATGAAGAAAGAGCAAGGCACGAAAATCTTTATTGGAAGTTCTGAGACTAAGGTGTATTGGAAGGAATCAGGAATACAAGTATTTTGAAATTTAGCTATCTTTTTAAAAATTTATTTTTAAATGGACAAATACAAATTGTATATGCTGATGGTGTTTAACAACAGTTCAAGAAATTTGGCTTTCTTGGTAGAAAAATTATTCAAAGACATTTATAGGATTGGTGAAGCCAGCAAATGTATTCATATTTTTCTTCTAACTGGTGTTAAAATGTTGCTTATGAATACAATATATACCATCAAGTTATACAATTGCTGTTCACATTGTGAAGATCTGTAGTTAAAATGGCATGCTTCACAGTATTGTATGGCTGAAACATTCTTTCTTAGCAATTCTTTTATTTATTGCATCAATAAATCAAAAATTTACAGCACCGTAAATACTTCAGTACTTATGATTACCATTAAGTTATATTTGTGTTTTTAAGACTATCAAACTCACGTAGTAAACATAGTAGCCTCTCTCATAAATAGAACTGAGTAACAGAAGCAAATCGGAGCCTTTAAATGAAAGTGACTGTCACTGAATGCCTGTGAGATTATAGTAAGTGCCTCTCAGGGAGCAAATAGAGCAAATAACTGAATAGATAGTTATTTTTGTCATTGTAATTTTAATAAAACATTGTTCTTAGGTTTCAGATGCATAGCACTGATATTTTCCTTTGGATAGTAATTTTTTAAAAACAATTTCAAGTTTTATTTTAGATTTCAGGGGGTATACATATAGGTTTGTTACATGGCGATATTGCATGATGCTGAGGTTTGGGGTACAAATGATCTCATCACCCAGGTAGTGAGCATAGTACCAATGGGTAGTTTTTCAGCCCTTGCTCCCCTCCCCTCTCCCACTTTAAGTAGTCCCCAGTCTCTATGGTTCTTATCTTTGTGTCCAGATGTACCCAATGTTTAACTCCCACTTGTAAGTGAGAACATGTGGTATTTGGTTTTCTGTTCCTGCATTAATTCAGTTAGGATGATGATCTTAGCCACTTTAATATAACCACCACTCTTGCTATAGTTCTATGTGTTGGCTTAGAGTCCCAAGGGTAACACTTCTGCAACCAGTGGATTTCAGGCTCACCTCAATGCTCCTAGGGTCAATCGTTCACTTCTATTGTTAGCTGACATGGGTAAATGCCTTATGAAATAAGGCAGAATTTTTCAAGGTTGTTGGCACTGAAAATTACAGATTTTATTATGAGCCGACAATGATCTTTCATGAGGGCCTTATGGTAGATTGTATTAATGGATTGCATTATCCAGTTCTTTGCTGCTCCCTGCTTCTATACTCTTGCTATGGCTTCATTGTGGCTGAAATGTATTTCCCTACTCCATGACTTTGGGCTCAGCTTTGTGATCTATTCTTGCTAATGTCATGTGTGTAGAAGTGACAGTGTACTGATTCCAAACGTAGGCCATAAGAGGCCTTGTACATTTCCGCAGGCCATCTTGTGCCTCTGTCATCACCATGAGAAGGACATGCCTGGATTAGCCTATTGGTCCAAGGAGGATGAGAGACATGTGGAGCACAGCTGCTCAGCCATGCCTAGTCTAGGTCAGCCCACTTGTAGATGTGTTAACAATAACAAATGACGGTTGCTTTAAACCACTGAGTTTTGTGTTTTTTTAAAATATAATTTTTTTGTGGTAATAACTGTCTGAGACCAGCAGATGTTATGAAGTCTCTAAATGAATGATTTTCCACTTCAACTTCAATTTTACCATCATTCTGGTTGATGTTCCTACCTGCAGGATGCGTTGTCCTGAAAAGGAATCTGAGGTCGGATCTAGGTATAGCACAAAAGTGATGTGATTGATTACTAATGCCTGCTACAGGACTGGGAAGGGAAGGTAGAAGGATGCACACTCCATGTCTTCCATCGTCACTTAGACTCATC
The DNA here is from genome assembly GCF_000001405.40 of Homo sapiens. Taxonomy (NCBI): domain Eukaryota; kingdom Metazoa; phylum Chordata; class Mammalia; order Primates; family Hominidae; genus Homo; species Homo sapiens. The sequence goes on along the minus strand of NW_017852928.1, from coordinate 111,523 downwards.
CTACATGTAACTGGGTATTAATGACTGGTAGGGTCAGTGGACCACCAGGAGCTTTCCAAAGTCGCTTATAACTTGTCATTGAACCCGAGTTAGCTCTTTTATTTTGTATTTTGTTTGTTTTTAAAAAATACATGTTTCTCTAAGTATTTTATCTATGCATGGCATGGCAGATACCCCTCCATATCCACTCTAATGTCCTTTTAGTATGCCTTCCTGTACAGCAGGGCCTAGAAAGCTGAAAACCACATTTCTATCACTCCCTTATGGCTAAGGGTTCTGGTTGTAATGTAGGTTTTTCCCATCAGGTGCAGTTGAGTGATGCAGAACTCTGCCCAGCATCTCTTGGGTGGAAAGGGACTGTGATGGAGTACCAGGGGTCTTCGGTCAGCGGTCTACTCCTTTGGCAAGTTTCTTCCATTGGAAGGGGAAGCTTTCTGGAGATTGTTGCAGAGGCAGCATGCTTCTGGAGTTGGGAGTTTTTTCTGGTGACTCAGGTCTTCAATCCACCCATATTTAGGATTTTGTAAGACACCCTAATACTTGGAAATGGCTATCTTTCAGTTTAAATTGGCTAGAGTGTGTCCTGTTGTATACAGTGAACTTTAACCTGATACAAGAAGTCTTATCGGGATATGAAAATATAGTAGAAAGAACACTGGAATTGTAATCAAAAGATTTCAGTCCAAATGACAACTCTTACACTGATTTTTAGGACCTTGGGTAAGCCACTTACCTCTCCATCTGTAAAATGAGATGAATATTATCTACCATGTAGGATTGCTTTAAAAATTAAATAAGAAATGGATAAACATTCTTTTTTTTTTTTTTTTTTTTTTGAGACAGAGTCTTGCTCTGTCACCCAGGCTGGAGTGCAGTGGCACGATCTCCATAAACATTCTTTACAAACTGTCAAATGATCAGAAAATGTTGTGTATTTCCCCCCTCTTTTGCCATAGAGCAGGAGTGAATTATTTTTCTCCCTTGGTTTCCTCCTGCCCCTCGTCCTCAGTTCTGAATGAGTCCACTCCACAACAGATCCTCTTGGCTACTCTAGTGGCAACAGGTGTGTCCCCCCAGCATGCCCTTACACAATGACTGTCTTTGTCACCATTCCCCCTATTCCTCCAAGCATCATCGGTGACAGCATTCCTTTGAAAATATTTGATTCTCATTTTTGGAAGAAATCAGGAGTAGCATAAAGTGCTATGAGTCCCATAGGTGCATGTCTGACAGGGAGCCACACAATTGAGTGCGGTGTTGGAGCGGGAAGTTCCCTGTGGGGCCAAAGATTGCATTTCTCGACTAAGAAAACTCTTTGTAGTCTGATCCTGGGAGTGAATGACCTTATGTAGGTTGAGGGGAAAAAAAATCCAATCCTTATTGCCCAGTTATGTTTGCCATTTAATTAATGGGAAAACTTCCTCCCCCTTTTAAAAAATCAATAATAAAATGAAATATTGAAGATAGAACAATCAGATTGCAGGCATGAGGAAATCATCAATAGCCGCAGAGTAATGGCATGTTGAGTTGAAAGTGACCTCAGAGGTAGTTTAGTCTATACCACTCAATAGAGAAATCTCATATCACTCTTAAGAGGGCTGATCTCTCACTAAACATTCCAGAAAAGGGGGTTGAGAGAAATCACTACTTCATTAGAAAATTCTAATTCAACTCAACATTTTCCAAAGTGTGCTCCAGTTTGGAAAGTGATCATTTGCAGAAAAAGTTTCTGAGGTCAGATACATTAGGGAAATATTTTACAAAACTGTATCCTCTTGAAGAGCCACTGTGTAAATGAGCATAATAAGAGCTCTGAAAAAGCATGGGGCGGGGGAATTTTTCTATTTTGTTTAACCCAGAGTTTTCCAAGCATTTGATTATGGGACATTTTTCCCCTCCACAGAAGTGCTCTGAGGATATATTTGGGAAAATGCTGCAATAATTATAAAACTCTTAATAATGAGTGAAATGTTGTTTTTGTTTCTTTTCTCACATTTATACCAATTAGTATTAATTATGACCCTGTGTCACAGAGAAGAATGACTAATCTCCATTTTTCATAAAACTTGATGTCTGGACTGGGTGTGGGGGAGAGGTAGAGGATGTGGGTAGAAAGAAAGGGAGTCATGAGGGATAGAAGAAAAAAAGTCAGCCTCTCAGTTTGTGTTTCCCTCAGGCTTGTGACACTTGCTATTTTGTCCTGATTGCTTCTTCACTCTGCCCATAGGGTGACCTTTCTCATCTGACCAAGCTGCTCCCCTCAAAATGTCAGTGCTCCCTATCATGGAATGGATAAATCCCAGCTTCCTTGGCACAGCATTTAAGGTGTTGCGGGATCTTGTTCTTTCTTCTTGCATTTTCTTTGTGGGGGTGTGGGGAGTGTTAGGATTTTTTCACCCCATTTCACTTGCACTTGCCTACAGCAGTAATGAATTATTTATTTGCAGTTCTCGGACCCAAAGCACCTTTCACACCTTCCAGGCTTTGCAGATCCTGGTTCCTATGCTGGAAGAATATCTTCTCATCCTCCACCCCCGACCTTGTTCAATGGTCTTCATGCAGCTATCCTGGATGCTCAAAATCAACATTGCTCTATCTGTGAAGTTTTACCCAAATTCTCCCCACCTGGATCCCCAGTAGAGTTAACCACTGCTCTGTACTACCCTTGAATGTTATGCATGATTTTATTTTTTGGTCTTATTACTCCATGTTTGTATGTTTGTCTCTTATTGGACTATAAGTTTCTGAAGTTAGGGACTGTATTAATTTCCTGGGACTGTCCTATCAAAAGTACCACAAACTGGGTGGCTTGAAAGCAATAGAAATTATTGTTCTGCAGCTCTGAAGTCTATCAGTCTATTAGTCTGCAAATACGCTCCCTCTGGAATGTGTAGGGGAATCCTTCCTTGCTTCTTCCTAGCTTCTGGTAGTGGCTGCCAATCCTTGGTGTCCCTTGGTTTGTGCCTGCATCTCTCCAGTCTGTCCTCTGTCATCACATGGTGTTCTTCCTGTGTGTCTCTCTTATCTTCTCATCAGGACATCAGTCAGATTAGATTAGGGGTTCACCCTACTCCGACATGATCTCATCTTAACTGATTACATCTGCAGCCACCCTAGTTTTGAGTAAGGCCACATTCTGACGTACTGGGAGTTAGGACTTTAACATCTCTTTTTGGAGGGCACAATTCAACCAATTACTGAAATTACATCTCGTTTATCTTTTACTACAGAATAGATATTTAATAAATGTGTGTTTAATAGAGATCCATGTCTAAAGTTAGACATTTTGGTTGGAGGATTACCTACACTTTTCTTCCTTATTGTTTAAAATATTGCTATGAACATCTTTGTGCATCTGTTTTTCTTTGTCTCTGCTGAATGAGGCCTAGGATATAAATTCTTGAAACTAAGATTCTTAAATATGGGTTGGGCATTGAATTAGGTCCACCAAAGAAATGACTGCAAAGTTGCAGCCAGGTGGGAACATGATTCATTCACAATCTATCATTCATTCATCAATTTGCCTACTGTCTACTAGATAACTGGGGAGTTACCAGGAATGCAGCAGTGCACAATGGTGCTATGGCCTATGCCTTCATGAAGTTTATAACTCAGAGCCCCAAGTCCTGTGTAGATAAACCTTCATGGAGCTCTAGTCTAGTGGGAGAGATTGACACACTCAATGGTAATTATACTACAGCATTGAATGTAAGAAAAGAAATATGCTGGGATTGCTTTGATGAGGAGCACCTAAGCCAGCAGAGTGGGGAGTTGGGGAGTAAGTGAGGTTTTCTGGAGATGGAGATAGCTCAGGTGAGTGTGGAGTGATGAATAAGAGTTGGGTGTGTTTTTGTGTCTGAGGCTTCATGGCCTGGGGGATGGTCGTCACTGCATCACCAAGGCAATATATGCAAGTTGTAAACAAGAATCAACATATAATTCCATGTGGCGAGAGAATAAATTGACAGGCAGGTAGAAGTGAAGATGATTGGAAAGCTAGAGAGTTTCTAGATCATGAAGGATTTCCTAAGTCATGATGCCCATTGTTTTTTTGCTGATTATAAATATAATACATAGGTTGGTGGTATCCAAACATTAGCAAAATATAATATCAAAATAAATTCCACCAAATCCAACTCCAGAATAACTGTTGTCAACACTTCAGCTCCCATTCCTCCAATTACTTTCTGTACATGCTATAATTTTATCACAATGGGATTATGTTACATATACATTGTTCTTCAGCTTTCTTTTTGAATTAAGTAATAATTCTTGAGTATCTTTCTGCATTACAACACATGGTTCTACTTTTTGAAAAACCACCTGGTGTTCCATGATGTGGATGTACTGAAGTGTATTTAACCACTTCCATGCTGATGAATATTAGTCGGGCTTCCAAGTTTTGCAGTTACAAATAATGTTGTAAAGAAGATTTTAAAATGTGTGTTTTGGGGGGTAGTTGTGGGAATACGAATAAATTTATATAAGTAAAATATGAACTTTTTAAAAGGAAAAATCAAATTGCTCTTCAAAAAGATTATCAATTTGTCTTCCTATCAATAGTATGTGATTACTGATTTCTCCAGGGTACTATAAATTTTTTGAGAATATTTACCTATATAAAGGCAAAACTAACATTCAGTTATAATGTTGCTTAATATAGTGAGAATGATTGTTTTTTCAAATATTTATTCACCATAATTATTTATAAATTTCCTATTTATGTACTGTGTATTTTTCAATTTAAATTTTTTCCTATTATTTAAAGAGCTCCTACATATTATGGATACCAATTATTTGCTTGTTAAACTTGTTGAAGATCTTTACTTCCAATCTGTACTTTTGCCTTTTAACTTTGCTTATAGTGTCTTCTGCCATATAGAATTCTAGTTATATAGTGAAATCTCTCTCTCTCTCTCTCTCTCTCTCTCTCTCTATATATATATATATATATATATATATTTTAATGACTTTTGGGTTTTATATTTTGTTGAAAGAGCCCTTCCACATCTCACAATATAAAATATTATATATTTTCTTGTAGTCACTTATTTTTATGTTTAAGTTGTTTTTTATCAATCTGGAATAAATTCTTGTATATGATGTGAGATGGGGATTTAGTGATATTTATTTACTTGCTTTCCCATTGGATTATTTTTTCTTGTCCCACTGTCTTGAAGATGTTTACTTTTTCATATACGAAATCCCCATATATCTGTAGCTCTGTGTGTAGGCTCTAAATTTTATTCTATTGAGCTTTGTCTATTCCTCCTCCTTCCATCCTACTGGAGTTTTGATGGAACTACATTCAGTTTACAGATGAATTTGAGGACAGTTAATATTGTTATGTATCAGATCTCTCTACCCAGGAGTGTGGCTTGAATCTTCATTTCTTTGGGTCTTTATATTTTTTCAAGCAGTTTTGTGTTTTTATTTTCTCATGCACATTAGGCACATTTGTTTTAAAATTTATTTCTTGATATTTTATATTTTATTTTGCTAGTGTGAATAGTACCACCCTTTCATTATTATTTTTTATATCTGGCTACTACTTGTATGTAAGAAAATTATCAGTTCCTATATATTATGCTTTTAACTGGCCAAATTGTCACTCTTCTTGTTAGTTATAATAGTTCATCAGTTGATTCTATTTTCTTGATAGACAACTGTGATACTTTGAAAGTCACGGTAACTTTTTCCTGCTAATATTTACAATTATTCTTTTTTCGTCTTGTGAGGGTTAGGTTTTCCATATCAACACTGAAGCAAGGAAGTGACATGGTCAGATTTACAATTTAGATACACCATTCTAGCTAACTGGAGAATAGGTTTAAGGGGACATAATGCAGGCAGGACATAAATTAGGAGATTATTAAAGTAGTGTAGGTGAACAGATAATGAAGTCTTAAATTGACTGTATGGAAGTAGGGATAGTGAGCAAGAAAAATTTTAAAGAAATATTTGGGCAGTAAAGCCAGCAGGACTTTGATGACTGATTAAATTATGTTGGTAAGAGGAAAGCCTCTTCTTGAAGGGATTATTTATATGGTTTAACAGAAGGAAGATTGTTGTTAGGGCCAAGGCCCTGACTCCTTGGTTGATCTGTCATCTTGTACCCCCATGTAGTTCTTGGTAAAGATAGGACAGAGGTAGGCTAGGAACAAGAATTTTATTTTGCTAGAGCTTCAGAATCAAATGTGCATTTAGAATATTCTTATTCTTATGAGTGAGTTGTTGAAGTAGAGTGTGAATGAAGGCTCTTACCATCCAGAATCTTAATAAATTTTGAATCTAATGTATGATCACAGGGAGGTTAACATTATTCATGAGGATGACAAAATTCCAAAGTTCTCAATATGAAATTGTGGGTTGGTGATCCTGGCAACAGTAAAAGGCAGTAAGTAGTGAGAGGAATAGAATGCAGTACAGCCGGCATGTATGTCCTGGAAGAAAAAGTTTGGGGAAGACAGTAGAAAGGGAACTGTATGGATGTTGCAGCTGAGAGACAGAAAAGTGTTCTGTGGAATATGAGGTATGGGAATTAAATGACAAGGTAATGAGAAAAGCTGGAGTGTGTAGGTGGATGTGGAGAAGACTCAACAGTATGGGTGCTCTTAGAGCATGAGAACTGATTGCTGGTGGAGGATGCCTAAGAATGAGATGGGAGTCATGGGTTGTCTATTCTATCCTAGGCATATCTATACAATAGATACTATACTATATCTATACTGGACTAAAATAGACTAGACTAGGGGTTTGGCATGAGCAGCTGAGATTGAAAGGGTAACACAGGTTTCACGTTAGCAAAGAGCAGTCTTTGTTGATGAGATGTCTTTCGGTATCCCAGATGATTAAGGGGAAGGATTAGCTGGTCATTGCAACACTATTTCTAATGGAATCACGGGTGCCCGAGGTAGCTGAGAGGCATAGAGTGAATTGGAGGAAGTAACCATTTGCCAGTATTCTCTCCATTTATTTGGGGAAGGGCTTGGTGGAATCCAGGATTCTTATTTGTGTGGAGATAGGCATGGAAGAGGAGTCAGGGTATATGCAGGTATTTTCAGGTTAGAAATTACTCTTAAAATTAGACTAAAGAGGGACAAGTTTTGTGGGCATGAGTACTAAGCCATACTACAGGAAGCCTCCCTACAAGTTGACATCAATCTTGACTTATGCGACAGCTGGGATTAATAGATGAAGAGGAAGGAGCAGGAGGAAGAGGAAGAGGAAAAGGAGGAAAAGGAAGAAAAAAGGAGGAGGAAAAGGAGCAGGAGAAAGAGGAGGAGAAGGAGGAAGGTGGGGGAATGTCCAGTATTAGTCTGCCGTTTCTTCTTTCTCACTCTATGCCTGCCTCTAGCTGCCCACTTTAACGTGTGGCTAGCTGTCCTGGATAAATGAGTAGAAAAGGGTTGTCTTTACTTTCTACATATTGGATTTTCACATTAAGTGCAAAGGAAATGCATATCATTATAAAACATTTTAAAGCAATCCTTGGGTAGGAGTTTTAGTAACACCCATGTGATCAAGACTCGAAATTCATTATCCTAAGAGTTGTGTGATAATTTAGGACCATGCCTGTCTCTTGCATGTTTGGTTAGTTTCATTTTCCAAATTAAGAGGTCACTAGAGTAGTTCTTGATCCATGTGACAAAGTGAAGGTCCTGATCAGCTGACAAAAATCTTAGACATGTGGGGTTAGAAAAAATTACTTGAAAATAATATGAAGGCAACATAAACCTCAAAGTAGAAGTTACGTGAGCAATTATTGGGAGAACAGAAGGCATATCACCACTACCTCTTTTTTTAACTTGTTATATTAAATATCTTATGTTATTGACCTCATGATATAAGAGGAAATTTAAATAGTTGCTTTTTTGGGAAGTGGGAAAATTGGCTACAGTTTATGTCCTACATTTTTGTTGATTTTAGGCAAGAGTTATATGAAGTCAACTTCTAGACATGGGGTACCCAGGTAGAGAAATGGAGCAAGTAAAATTTTCCTTGACACTGTCGGATATTTTTTTGTTTTGTGAGATGGGATATTTCATTCAAGACCTTCCTACTTTGGTTGATAGAGAGTCCTGGGTCATCTTTAGGATATATAGCTTGGATAAAACATATAATACATTTTCTCATGATGATCTACTCCTCTATTCTGTATAAAGTAAAATTAGATTAAAATGAACATTAATAGCAGTGGTAGAGGAAAAAAAACAAAAACAAAAAACAAGAGTATATGATTGAAAACATATATATACACACACACACACACACACACACACACATACATACATATATATTTGTATATATATATATATATATATTTTTTTTTTTTTTAAGACACAGTTTTGCTCTGTCACCCAGGTTGGAGTGCAGTGGCTCGATCTTGGCTCACACTGCAATCTCCACTTCCTGGGTTCAAGCTATCTTCCTGCCTCAGCTTCCCAAGGAGCTGGGATTACAGGTGTGCACCACCAAGCCTGGCCTGAAAACATATTTTTGAAGAAAGAGAGGTAGTTTCCCTGGTGGAAGTAATGTGTACTTTGAAGTCATATGAATATGGCTTCAAATCCCAGCTCTGCTACCTTCTTGGGTGAACTTAGACAATATCTCTGAGTCTCAGTTCTCTCACTTGAAGAATGGGGAAGATAAACATGTATTTCATAGAATTATAAGGATTAAATTTAGAAATATTAATAAATACTGTCAACTCCTATAAAACTTCTACTCGCTCTTTAAATATCAGCTCAAATTCTACCTCCTTTGAGAAGTCTTCCCAGACTGCTCATGGGCAGCTTCAGGCACTGCCTCCACTAAGCCCCCACCATATTTTGTATATACCTCCAAGAAAGCAAGCCTTAATTGTATTGTAATTGCGTATTTGCCTATTAGCCTTCCCAAGTGTCTTGGGAAGAGGTCAGTGATTATATGTTATTCAGGGTTGTATCCTTAGCATCTAACAGAGAGCCTCACATTTGGAATATGCTTAAAATATTTTATTTTTAGTAAATGAATGCATGAATAAGCACTTATTAGGATTTCTGGTACTTGGTAGGTGTTCAGTGAAGATTAATTTTAACTCCCTTCCACTGTTTATTTTTCTATCGGTAGGTATATGATGCAAGGATGGGGAGGGAAGGAGGAGTTAGATGGAGATATGGTTTGGGATTAATTTATACATAAATATAAAAATATTTTGTTTTTCCCATCCTCCCAGCCTGCTTCCTTGGATCACTGTGTATCTACCTGATGAAAGGATGGGTGCCTTGCCACTCACTGTTCTGAAAATAGCTTTGATTTCACTCCAATCTTGTATTCTCTTCCTAAGGAATATTTTCTCATTTCCTTAAAGTTAAATGTTTGTAACAGGAGTTGAATACAATCAAATATAGTTCATTGATCAAGTAATATATTTTGTCCTAAATTCTTGAATTTTTGGAATCTCTTGAATCCCATATTCAAAAGGATATTGAGGAACCTAGACTATCAGGGAAGGAGCATGTAATCCTATTTGGCAAGGGAATCGGGGCTCATGCTGTCTTACATCCTAGACTTCCAAGTGCAACAACCATTTGATGACTTCTTGTCATCAGGCCCAGACCCTACACTGATGTAAAACAGTTCCTTGGAATCTCATTTGTTGATCCAACCTTTGGGCCTTGCTATTTGTTAAAGCAAAAAAAAAAAAAAAAAAAAGTGGTGCAAGTTGTTTCTCATGAGGTCAGTGCACTGGGTTTCTAATATTGAAAACAGCTGTGTTTTCTGTGAACATCTTCCTGCCACTGCATCATCTCTGGAGGATTTCCCATATATCCCAGTATGCCAATATCCAAAATTGTCCATTCATTCTCATTTTAGTTGGTCTACTAAGAGTGAATGAATGTATTTCATTTCTATACATCTCTTATTGTGAAAGGTACAAGAACTTCCTCTGAAATATTTGGCTGTTAAATATTATTTGGGCATGGTCCAATGAGGAATGTATACATCTTTTGCAATAAGCATCTTTCTGCTCTCAGATTATACATACAGCATAGGTTTTAGCTGTGCTTCAAAGCAGTGGAAGGGTTTGTAAGGACACTGGGCTAGGAGATAGGAGACCAGAGTGGTAGCTTTTCCTTTTCATTTAATAACTGACTGACTCTGAGCCACATTTTTCAACCCACTTCTGGATAATACTTTTGTAACTGCCAATATTGAACAGATGACATTCCAAGAGAAAAGTTTTTCTTTCTCTAAGAACTGTCGCTTTGCCACTCAGATATACAACCTATTTCCTAACACATATGAAACTAGTATGCAACATTTTGAGAATAGGGGAGACTCACTGAGATATTAGCATATTATTACTTGCCAAATCTGACATTATTTTAGGTAGAAAAATAACCTTATTTCTTTCTAAACTCTTTTGATAAAGTGTTTCTGAATTAGCCGAGCATGGTGGCTCACGCCTGTAATCCAGCACTTTGGGAGGCTGAGGCAGGAGGATTGCTTGAGTCCAGGAGTTTGAGACCAGCCTGGGGAACATAGTGAGACCCTGTCTCTACCAAAAATAATTTTTTAAAAAATAAGAAAAAATATTTCTGAATAAAACATTCTGAAATATCAGTGACTAAGAGTTATCACGACTAGAAATGTATAAAAACAACAAATATTGGTTTTAAATATCAGATGTCTCTAAGTTTTCTAAAAATAATATCTTTTACCTTGTGTTCTTTGTCCTTCTGCTTGCGTATTTTTAGATCATTTTAATAACAGTGCACATACTGTTTTGTATTCTGCCTTTGTTTTGGCAATAGGAGATAAAAGAACAAGTACTATAATCAAAAATAATTCTTTTGTTGAATATAATTGTAGCTAAAAACATCATCCATAAAATCACACAAGTTGGAGGAAAAACAAAGAAAACAGTGTCTTATTTGTGGAACCTGTCTTTTCTAAGCCACATCAGCAGAATATTCTACCCTTCTTGCACTTTCTGAATCTCCAGCTTGTTTGAAAGAAGCTTACATGTGTTTGCAGAGCCCTTGGGATGTCTCATAGGTGCTTGGGAACCCGGCAGCTTCAGCTATCTCATCCCATATGCCATTTTCTTCTGCTGCTCTGGAGCTAACTTCCCAGGCGCTGTGTGCTGCAAAGGTTGCAGCTGACCAGCAAGTCCTGGGCAGGTATTTCCCTCTGCTGTGGAGTTCTCTCCCACTGATGGTGGTCTATCTCCTTGTGACCATGTTTTGTTGGGCCATAGCCCCTCATGTGCCAGTGTCCTCGATAAGGCATCTGTTCATCTTGTCTAAGATGAAGTAGACAGAATTGCTTCATGGACTGTGGTGTAATATGCTCTTGGGTGAGTCCTAAAGCAATTTTAGGACTCTATCTTCCCTTTGTGTTTGTGAAAGCAGCTATTTCACCTTTTGCCTGTGATTTGTTCTGCCATCTCCCAGTAATATTACATCGATGCTGGTAATATATTTGTACCCTAAGGGCCTGTTATTAGTCCATACTCAGAGAAGAACTCCATAAACACATTGTTGACTCTCAGCTGTGTGTACTTGTACTTTGGCAGCAGGAAGTTTAATTCTGATGAATGTATTGAGTTTCAATCCTGGATAGAATAGTTGGCAAAGGCAGAGCGTGGCTCCTAACCTCTGGAGCTAGGTTAGGGTGTAAAATAAAGAGCTTGAAGGAGATGTGTCAACAGATGCCTGCTCGTGAACTCAGATTTAGGAGTTTGCCAAGGACATGAATGAATATTCAGAAATATTCCCCACAGAGTTTCCAGGAGGTCTGGGGTGACAGGGTTCCTGTAGGATTTTCTGTCCACGGGCTGTCCCTTTTGTCTTCCTTTCTGCAATAATGCCATGGTTCTCACCTGAATACTTCAGTTCAGACTCCTGAACTTGAAGAAGGTTTTGGATCCTCTGCCATTGATGAAACTGGGCTGACAACAATGGCAGAGATACTTTTGCCCCTGCTGCAATTCTGTCTGTCCTACATGTTTTTGAACTAAGGATCTAATAGGGTTGCTGTTTGTCAAGATGTAACAGGAAGCCTGTTTCTCCCAAATGGAGAGCAATTTTATGTTCATGATCCTCCAAGGTCTTGCCAAATAAAATTAGGTCATATAGACAAACTAGCATTTTCATACAATTTATGCCATTAATCATTTTCCCATTGATTTCTAAAATATAACAGTGGCCCCAGGATCCCTGGGGCCATACTTTTAAATTGGACCCCTACAAGACAGAAGAATGCCATCTTTTCTTTATCTTGGTTAGTCCTATATGCATTTGATAATACCCATGTCTTAAAACAGTCACCTAAAACACCTGGCTTCCTAGCATTTAGTCGGGAATATCCTTGACTTGTAGCTTTTTTTTTTTTTTTTTTTTTTTTAACACAGATCTATTTTGGTGCATCTATTCAGAATGCCATAGTTCATATTACATTGAAATTTTGCCTTGTTTTTCTTCCGTAACCCAATAGAAGAAGCATACGAACTATAGGATTTAGAGATGATTAGGTGACTATGCATTTTGGTTGGTCTGGGACAGTCCTGGCTTTATGCCTATTACTCAGGTGTAAATATTAATTAGTAGGACTCCATTTCATGCCTAAGTTATCTTGGTTTGAACAATAAAGCACATGGTCACCTAGAGATGATACACTTAATCATTAGCTCTAATCAGCTGTTAATGTTAAGCAGAGTACTCTTTCTATGGTGTTATTTTCAGGGTGAAGTTTCCTGTCTCTCTATTTTATGCCTTTTCCCTGACACAGACTGTATTACACTTCAGAAGAGCATAATGTTACTCCTTGCTTTGATCTTCTTCCTCAGTTTCTTTTCCCACACTTCAAAATAAAAGTTTCCAAGATTTAAACAAGGTGTTCCAGTTGTGACAGCTTTAGGAGAGGAAGCAGGTTCTGTCTTTTGGCAGGATCTGCACTCAGGACGAGGACAAGAAAAAAAATCCAGAAAGTCCCTAGCCTCTCACCTGCAGTATTGGGCAAGTACTTTAGATGGGCTGAGGTTGTACTCCATTCGTGGGCCACCCCTTACACATCCATCCCCAATCCAGGCATGCAATTGCTGCCGTAACCATCTCTTCCTTATCCCTACCCCTTCTTCAGGAGATTCCACCTTCCCATACCCCAAGTAGACAGAAGCATTTGGACTTGGGCATGGAATCCCAGTCCACATAATGCTTACAAGGGGAGGGGCTCAGGGGACTATCATAAGATGATTTCGGAATTATGGTCGCTTGTCACAATTAAGCCCTCCAGAATACCAGGCTAAATTTGCCTTTTTGTTTCTTTTGAAACTCTTATAAGTAAAAATTTCAAAGCAGTTTTTAATGTCCCTTTAATTTCAGTTTCACTGGCACCCTTTTCTGAGTGCATCCATACTTTTTTCTGTACAATAACAGTGCAGGCCAAACATCAGATAATTTTTGTTCTAGATATAGTACGTAGTCTGTGGGGCAAGTGTGTACTGGAGAAAGATTCATCATCATTCTGGACAGGCTGTCCACTATTTCTCCCCTTCCCCCTGCACCATCCCCCATGCAAGTATAACTAGTGTAGATAGGCAAGTTTCCCTAGACTTGGCCATGCTTACATTGACACTTATGACATCCAGACCTCTCTTTAGCCAAATTAGCAGGAAGGCCAGCTTTTCCCAGCCTCTTTCTTCCACTGGTGTTTCTGAGAATTGCAGAGGCCACTCATTTATTCCTAACAGTTGTCCTGATCTTTGTATCTGTAGGCAGTGTTGGAACTCAGACACCTTCTTGAGGCCACCACTGGTCACGGGGCCAGTTCCCCAGAGAGTTTATCACTAGCTGGGAATAGCTGGCTCTGAAGTTGCAGAACAAAAATGTTGATGTTGTCTATTAATTCCGAGATTCAAATGTCACTCTCACAGGGTGAGAGTGGCTCTTTCTCGAAAGCAAAGCTGTTTGTGCTCCAGTGAGTCTGGTGTCAATGGCGAAGTGGCCCTTGCCCCGACCACTGGGACAAGCTGGTATCACTGCCAACTTTGCAGAGGCCCTGGCATCCCCTCAGGGATCTGGACAGCTGGACCCCACCTCCTGCTGGCCCTATTACTTGCTGCATCGACCACCATTGCTGGGGCAGGCGACAGTGTTGGGACATCTAGAATGAAGGAGTACTTGTCTGACTTACTTTCTGAGCTTCACAGAAATAGGCCCTGGCCCCTGAGGGCCAAAGCTCTTCTGATACAAATCTGTCTCCAGGACAGCTGAGTTGGGGAGAGTTCTGAGAGAGGCCACTATCCTGACCTAGAACCAGGCTCCCTTTGATCCTTAACCCTGAGGCCAAGACCTGTCTACTACTCCTGATTCCTCCTCCCCACAGGGGGAATTCCATTCAGAATTCTCACTACTCTTTTGGTCTGCCCTCTCACTCCAATCCTTCAGACAATTTACAAAAACTTTGAATCTCACAAGTATTTGGGATTTTCTAAAAGTCTTTTCTCTCTTTCTCGATTTAGGGCGCATAAATACTGTGGCCAGAGACTCTGTAATTCTCAAGCTGAAATGCAAATAGGTATATGGTGAGGGGCCTGCAAATCCACCAGCCTCCTGAATCAGGGCCAGCACTTGCCCAGGAAAGCATTTTGTACTCTATGGTAATAATTCATTTAAAAATAAAATTCGGATCATACTAAATCATCTCTTTTATAACCTTCATGTTTTTCCTTAACATCACGAACATCTTTTTATAACAATAAATATTTTATGGCATCATTTCATAGCTGCATGGTATATGTTGCTGATTCTCTATTATGAGATATTTATTTCCAGTTTTGCCACTATCATGAATAATGATGAGGTGAATATCTTACTATAAGCAGCTTTGTGTACAGTGATGATTTCTGTAGGGTAATTTCCTACAAGTGGAATTTACTGGTTTAAAGGGCACTCTGGTTTACACCAACACCAGCAGCCTCTGCGGCTTTGCAAAGGGTTGTCAATAGTTACCTAAAATAATTCAGAAGATGTTCTCCTGTGGCTGTTCTTTTAAATGGTGTGTAAGAGAACACAATCAAGGCTTAGAATTGCTTGAACACTCTACTTTTGAGCCCCTGAATGTCACATTAGATAGGACAGTTTAGTTTTCTAAACTGTTTTTTGTTTTCTCTTAAAATATCTTTTATTAAATATATTTTTCATATTTCCTTTTCAGCAAAACATAATGATAGCTATAATACTAATAATTGCCAGGAAGGGTTTTCCCTAATCCTCTGAGTATTTGGAGGTCAAAGGAAGAGCTTTTATATCCTTTCAAAAGAACAGTAAATATGGTGGGGTGAGGGTGGGGACAGAGTTGTATCTCAAAGGCCCTCCTGTTTCAGAGGAGATGCTATAGAGAGGTTAGAAATTATTTACCAGGGGACGTAGGGTCATTTTCCCAACATTATCACATCCTTAAGAAGAATTCTGTGTCTTACCCATGAGAGATGTTTGTCATTTTGATTTTTTGGTTATTACCTGGGACCCTTTTTTTTTTTTAACCTTCTTAAAGCATCCTATGGTATTTTGGCTCTAGACTTGTGACATTTTGTCTTCTTTCCTAAAGGCACAGGGAGAGTTAGGGAGCCATCTGTGCTTGCCCTCAGTACTGTGTTTAAGAGATAAATAAGCAATTACTTCTCTCCTCAGGCAAGCTCTTTTGTTTGTCAGGAAGTCTCTGTCTTGATCCTGTCTCAGTAAACAGAAAAAGATATGTAGCAATTCCACAGCCATAGAAGACTGTGGCTGGCTTCAGACTACATTCATAGAAATACAACATATGGACTGATTAAAGTACAATCCCATTGTACTCTGCATATCTTCATTCTGCAAACATTTCCTATGTATTACGCAGTGGACACTGGGCCACATGTTAGGATTCAGGGCTAAAAAGACAGTCCCTACACTCTAGAAACTCAGGCAGAAGGGAGAGAGACATGGTGACAAACAATTGTCATAGGATGATGTAATAATTTTAATAGGTATTTGTTCAAAAACAGGAGGTGTGTAGGGGGATGGAACATCTGAGGCAAATAGCCAATGAGCTCTTGGAGGATAAGTAGGTGTTTGCCCAGCATGTGAGTGGAGGGGATTCTAGGCAAGAAAACAGCATGTGCAAAGTCAGGAAACTATACTAGTTTATGGAGTGTAGGGTGAAACATCAAGTATTCTAGTTTTGCTATTAAAACAGGAAAGGTAGATGGGCAGGAAATGAGGTTAGAGGCGTTGGCAGGAACAGGAGATGAGGAATCTTATATGTCATGTGTGGGAGAGACTGTTAATTGTCTCCATTATTTGTTTTCTCCCCTCTTCAATTGGTGATAGACAGGTTAGCAGGGCACAAGGCCGCCTGCATTAAACACTACATTTCCCAAGCTCCCTTGAATGTAGGCATGGCCAGTTGACTAAATTCTGTAAAGGGAAGTGTCACATAGCAGCTCCAGGGAGTCTGCCCTTAAAGACAGACAGCAAGACAGCATCTCTCCCTCTTTCTCTCTCTCTACTCGTCTTTGTCTTTGTCCCCATTTCCATCTAAATTCTGGAAAGCAAATAGTGTTGGCTATACAAAACAAGATAGAAAGATCCTGGGTTCCTGAAGCCATGAAAAACTTTGCAGCCATAAATCACTACCCAGATTTCTACCCAAGAGAGAAAGAAATTTCTGTTTTGTTTAAACAACTGTTATTTTGAGTTTTCTGTCTCTTACAGATATATCTAATTTTAATGCATTGAGCAAAGGAGTTTAGATTTCATGCTGTTGCTGATGGACAGGTGGTGGAGAATTTGATCATGGGCAGCACCATGATCAGAGTTGCGTGTTAGAACCATCTCCTGAAGACACTGGGAAAGACTGATTAGAGTGGGACCAATTACCAGCAGGTAGAGCCACATGATTCAGGGGAGAGACGATGCAGGGAGTGGCTTTGCACTAGGTCAGCTTAGCTAACTGAAAACAGATTTCCCAGAATTCCTTTCCCTGGATGGCTATGGTTAGGATTGGGAAGGGGGAAGTGAGGCAGCAGCCACATTGTCACAGGAAGTCAGCATAGGATCAGGAGCTACTGCAGCTCACATGCATAGTCCAGGATCTGCTGGCTCACCTTCTTGGCATGAGGCAGCCGCTGGGCTTGCAGCTACTGTGACCACTGCCAGCTCTCCTCTTTCAGTGTGTCCAACTCCTGGGCCAGCCGTGGGTTTAGATTCCTGACAAAGGGTGCCAGCATCTTTGGCAGGTCACCCACATCATTGAAATTGAAAGCTTGGAGGCGATGAGAGACCGACACTCATTCCAGTTTGTCCTCTTGGGTTCCAGCTTGTCCTTGCTCTCCCCCACTTCCTGTCCATCTTTCCTTCCTGACTGCCTACCCTGATGACTTCAGGCCAGCACCAAATGAAGAAGCAACAGCTGTACATAAACTTGTTAACCAGCTCCCACGATTGTATAAGGTCAAATCCATATGCCAAACCTCTTATCACTCTGAGTGGTTCTGCTTTTTTGATCAAACCCTGATCGATATTGAGTACGAAGATGGTGAGGGCAAAGTTTCACTTTCTTATTTACCACTCTGTCCAGAGTCTAGAACAGTACCTGGAAGATAGTAGATGCTCAAGAAATATTTTTGAACAATGGGAGATTTTTAGGAGGTAGAAGTAATAGGACTTGGTGATTGGATGTAGACTTAAAAGAAAGGTGAAATTAGTAGGACTCTCAAGTTCTTTGCTTTGGCAAGTGGGTGAAGATGGTGTCATATGCTCAGATAGGGAATTCAGGAGAGAGATTAATCCAAAAAGTCTCATCAGGAAGATATTGAGTTAAATGGACCACAAGGTAGCTCTTGGGCAGCAATGCTTGTGTTCTTAGAGAGTTCTTGAAGCTGTAGGATAAAAATTGAACCAGATAGACTTTGCAGTCCCTTTTGGATTTAGAATTCCTATCAGAGAAGATGATGAGTTCAGTTTTGAATACACTGGATTTGAGAAGAATTGTGGGATATTCTTTTGGAGATATGTATTGAACTGAAATTCAATTCATACATCAGGAAAGGGGTCTGGGCTAGATATTTATTTGGGGAAGTTGCCTGTTAAAAGCAGTATTTGAAGCTATGGGCATGATTTTTAAAAATGTAAATGTCATTATGGGACCACACTGGAGTCTTAGGGACCAGCAACATTTAGGAGTCTGGTGGAAGAAGAGAAGCCTGCAGAGGACACTGAAAAGTAATGATAAGTGAGATAGGTGATGATAGGTGAGGCAGGAGAGTGTGGCTCCAGGAACTGGGTGAGGACATGGTTTCAAGAGAGAGTGACTATATTCAGCACTAAATGCTGTAAAGCATTCCAGTAAATGAAGATTTAGAAGTATCCCTAGAAGAAGGAGTTTTGGTGACAAGATGAGGTGAGAAGACAGAGTGAAGTGAGTTGAGGAGTAGGTGGAAGATAGCAAAATGGGCATTGGAAAGCACCGAAAAGAGTGAAAGCATTGGAAAAAGTGAAAAGCACTCTTTCTTAAAGCTTGACCAGGGGGTAAAAAAGAATGATTGAGATGGAGTAAAAAGAGTGAGAGCTTGACAGAGAATGGTTAGAATGGAACAGTGGGATTTAATATTTCAGAGGGGAAGATGTTCTGAATGATGACAAAGTGTGAGTGTGGTCTTGGGTGTAGGTGTCTTTGGTGGGGTGGTGATGAAGGTCACTGGAGTTGAGATCAAGGAAGTGGAGGCCAGGATGTGGAAACACAGTCTGTGTGGGTGCTGGTCCCCAAGCAGGTGATGAAAAGATGGAGGAGAAGGATGGCAAGCCAAAGTTCATGATGAATATGAGAGAATTGACAAGAGATCACCAAATGATGAGGTTGAAGAAGCAGACAGCTTATCATTCACAGAGGGTGTGGGTCTCAAAGGAACATGAGGCTACTTATTCATTCAATATTTGATATTAAGTGCCTACAGTAATGACCTGGATGACTGAGAAATCACCACTGACTTGGTGATAAGTCGGGCAGGGGAGATAAAACATTTTCATAGCCTCAGGAGGAATCCGGGTTTCCTCACTGGATTTTAACCCTGACTGTCCGTTAGAACTCCCCGGGAGCTTTTCAAAAGTATCATGCCTGGGTCCTACAGCAGCCCAATTCTATCAGAATCTGTGGGTAGTATAGCAGTATTGATATTTTTAAAAGCCCCCCAGGGATTTCTAATGTGCAGTCAGGATGGTGAACTACTGGTGAACAAGGAGCCCTTGGGCATAAGGAGATTTTTATGCTGAAGCTGACATGGGCCTCCAGTTGCTGGGGGTGAGGGGGTGGGTGCTGACTGGCACCTACCTTTGGCACCCAGGGATTTAGGGGGAAGGATGTACAGTGGGGCCCCAGGATCTGAACAGTTCTGATTGTCTGCAGTTGAAGCCCTTGGCTGGAAGGCAGGAAATGAAGCGGGGCCCAGAAGCAGAGCATCTTATCATTGCCTGCAGCTGGGCTCCTGTGCAGGTGGGAGGGGGACAGGAAGGGAGGCGGGCCCCAGTGTTAGTTCCCACTCGGAGGCTACTTCTAGGGTTCTGTCATCAGTCCTCTGCACCACGCTTGAAAGGTACCATGAGAAATTGCAGCCTGTCTTGAGAGGGCAAACAGGATGAAGGCTGAGTTCAGGAAACCATGTCACATTAAGGATGAAAAAAGGATCTGGGGGCTGTGAGAAAAAAAAACACTCGTGTGGCTCTGACGACTGTCATCAAATAGTTAAAAGGCTGTCATGGAGAAGATTGATAAGATTTAGCTCCAGAACACAGACCAAAGATTAGGAATTCAATGGAATTCATCTCAGTTTACAGAAAGACATTTCTAACAATTAGTTTTCACTGAACACTTCAAAGGGTCTTCATATGAAGTAGAATGCTATTCTAGAGTTTAATGGGAGGTTGAATGACCAGATTTTTAAGTGGTTATACAATTATAACCCCACTCCGGGTAAAAGTATGATGATCTTTAAGATTGCCTAGTCTTGGATTCTAGAAAATTCTTTAATGTGAATATTAAAGGTAATTAAAACAAAACAACAAAAAACCAATTTGATGTGTATTGGCCATAGTCTTGGGCAAAATGTAGTCTTAGATTTTTAAAAATCTAGTGTTATACTGGAGTAACAACATTAAACTATTCAAACTAGCATTCTTTTGGAGTTTAAAATCAAGGGCTTGCTTACTTCAACATGTATATTTATAATTTAACTCATTAATAATAATGTTTATAGACATTGACATTTTCAGAACAACCTATTAGTTAATCCTCACAGTGTTTCTATTTAAGTAGGCTAGTATTTTTACAAGGTGAGAAATCTATGAGACTTGAGGAAGATCATCACTTAAGTCAGCATTGCAGCCAAGAATAACCAATTGTCATAATTTGACAGGTGTATATACATCTCTCACAGTGAGCCCAAACTGAATACATAAGACAGATCATATAGATAAATATAGTCCCCATTCAAATGGATTTCCACATAAACCAAGGCCGAAGACAGAAAAGAAAGAAGATTGGTTATCTTCCTTAGGGAAAGGCAGTAGGTATAACCTTGCTTTCCTTTGCTGGATTCTTTAAGACCTTGTGAAGAAACTACATTATAACCCATAGAATGTTTCTATTGTAAACCTATTTAAAATTTTGGAGAGGTTAAAAACAGTTTTTTTTTTTTTTAGGAATTACTGGTCAAAACCTGGAATAAAAACAACGACCCAGAGGTGGTTTTAGGGGAGGGCCAATTACTAGGTGATTTTAAGGAATTAATGTGAAAATTATCACAGCTCCCCAGAGCTGCCAAACATGGGAGATGGTAAGTGAGAGAGTAGGAACTTGATTGCCAAGGATACAAACCCTGTCTTTTTCGGGGGCAGGAAAAAGGCAGTTAATGATACCTGCAGATGTTTAGGTATACATGGTATAACCAGGTGATAATGATGATGAAGATTGTCTGTTCTGAACTTTCAAAGAGAGTAAACAGGAAACATGAGGCAAACAGAACTACTAATCCCCTCCAGAAGGACCTGGGTACATATCAGAGCACCAGGTTGTGTGATCAGGAGAGTTAAGAAGGTAAAGGACCCCTTCTTTATGAAAACAATAAAATGCTCTGAAGCTCCTGAGAAGAGTGTAGGAAGTGATGTCTCCAGGAAGTTGTGGGTTGCACAGGCCCTGAGATTTCAAACATCTGAAGCATGAAGGAAAGTAGAAAGTTTCTTCTTAGAAGAAAAAAGAGAAACAGCATTGGATTCAGTGGTCAATGTCCAACGATTGATGTTTATAGTGAAACTACCTGTTTTCTACTCGAGTTTTAAGCCTTATTCTAGATTGTGTGCTATGCTGTTTACAAATGGACTTAAACATTCTCATTTATTAAAGATCTATAATTTCATAGAAAAATCATGTGTTCTGAATTGTGAATCAAAAGCTATGGCACCCGCTATCCTCACATGGAGAGATCCTGGATAGGTGGGCCAGATGACCATGGCCCATAGAATCAAACTTCAGTGAGTAAGAATTCATCAAATTGTAAAAATTAGTGAGTCCATAAGCTGCAAGTATAAACTTTAGCCCATCCTCAGATATAGGCATCCTCATGTTTACCTCCCTTTTAGGCCTTTGGGAATAGATCACCCTCCTATTCAAATAGATTGCTCATTATAAGTGGTGAAAATTTAAAGACCAAAATGTTTCGCTGTGAAGTGAGGTAAAGGGGAAAGAGTCCCTATTGGTATCTAAGATGCTATAATTGGAGGCAAGTGGCTAAGTTGAGGTGAGTGGCAAATGATGAGTCTGGAATAATGGCCCTTTAATTTTGGTCTTCATCAGAATCATTCAGAAGAATCGTTAAAAAATACAAATTTCCAGACACTACAAAAGTGGATATATGCAAAGAAGTACATAAAAAGATGCTCTAACATCATGCATCATTAGGGAATTGCAAATTAAAACAATGGTATATCACTACACATATGTTAGAGTGACTAATATCTTTTAAAAAACAAACCCAATAACACTAAATGATCGTGAGGATGCAGAGCAACAGAAACTCTTATTGATTGCTAGTGGGAATGCAAAATGGTACAGCCACTTTGGAAGACAGGCAGTTTCTTACAAAGCTAAACATAATCTTATCATACTATTCAGCAATCATACTCCTGGGTATTTACTCAATTGAGCTGAAAGCTTATGTTCACAAACCTGCACGCAGATGTTTATAGCAGCTTTACTTATAATTGTAAAACCTAGAAATAATAAAGATGTCCTTTAATAGATGGATGGATAACCAAACTGTGGTAGATCCATACAATGGAATATCATTTAGCAATAAAAAGAAATTAGCTATCAAACTACAAAAGAACATGGAGGAAGCTTAAATGCATACAGGTAAGTGAAAGATGCCAGTCTAAAAAGGCTACTTTCTCATTCCAACTGTATGACATTCTGGAAAGGACAAATCCGTATAGACAATAAAAAGATCAGTGGTTTGTCCAGGACTTGGGGTGGGAGAAAGCATGAATACATGAAGTACAGGGATGTTTTAGGGCAGTAAAACTATCTTGTATGATACTGTGACAATATATACATGATATTATGCATTTGTCAAAACCCATATGACTTTACAACATAAAGAATAAGCCTTAATGTATGCAAATTTAATAAATAATTTAGGAGGTCAGGGATCCCAGGAGAAAATGCAGACTGTGGCAAGAGAATCTAATTGTATTATAAATGTATAAAATGCCCTCACTCCCAGCACTTTGAGAGACCTAGGCAGGTGGATCACCTGAGGTCAGGACTTCAAGACCAGCCCGGCCAATGTGATGAAACCCGTGTCTACTAAAACTACAAAAATTAGCTGGGCGTGGTGGCAGCCACCTGCAATCCCAGCTACTTGGGAGGCTGAGGCAGGAGAATTGCTTGAACCCAGGTGGCGAAGGTTGCAGTGAGCTGAGACTGTGCCACTGCACTCCAGCCTGGGAGACAGAGTGAGACTCCATCTCAAAAAACAAATAATAATAATATTTTTATTATAATTATATATATAATATTTTTATTATAATTATATATATCATAATAATATTTCATTCCCTGAAGGGAGAAAAGGCACTGACATAGGTAACTTTGGAAATGAATGGGGTGTATAAGGCTAAAGGCACATTAAGTAGTGTATTTTATTTTAAAAAGTTGTTTCTCATGGAAGTATTAACAATTCTGATACTGCTATACATGTCTGCTGGAATTGAACAATTAATTTTTTGTAAAAGAATTTGCAGATGGTGGGAGCCAGGTTCCTTACTGTTTGAGTGGGAGATGATAGGTAAGTGAGAGAATGATCCATGTGGTAATGGAGTAGAGTTGATGACATCGGTAAGAACTCATGTTTAACTTAAAGTAGATACAGGTGTTTCCAAGCTGTATATTTACACACACAGCTTCTTATATGCACATGTATTTCTTTGCTCTGTGAGCTGACAAGGTGTAAAAGAAATGACATCCAGTAGTAAGGAGCACACCAAGCACTCAAATCTTGGTTTCTTATACTATTCTTCAATAAAAGGCGCCAGGGCTATTTGGAGAAATGGTTGATTCTAGGACTGGGGCAGTGACTACATGAAATGACTGTAGAGCATTTTGTAGTGCCAGAAGGTAAGTAAATACTCAACACACACACACACACACAGACACACACACACACACACACAGATGGGGTACGTCAAAAGTGTACATGAGCTAACTGAAAGAGCTCCCACTGGCCAAAGCTAGCATATTTTGAGAAACAACATAAATAAAGTCACTTTAGAGTATAACCCAAAGTATAAAATAAATATCTATGAGTCCATACTGACATAAAGAAATTATTGAATAAAGCAATAAATTATAGAGAGGAGATAAATCTCCTATGCAGGAAAACTCCAAATTATGTAGATTACATCCTAATGGAGGGGGAGCATAACTCCCCATTCCTTAGGTGTGGGCTGCATATAGTGACTTCCTTCCAATGAATACGTTATGAAAAGGGGAAATGAAAGAGTAACGTTACGACGTAGAAATCTGTCTAATACTACTGAAGCCAAATGCTCAAGGTCAACCACACCCATAAGTCATGTGACAACATGTACCCTTTATAGACTATGATGACAGTGGTTCTTTACCTCTGTGATCCTCCTTCCCCAAACTCATAACTCGAGACTAATACATCAGACAAATTCCAATATAGGGCAATTCTACAAAACACTTGAATATTACAGTACTCCTTAAAACTGTCAAGATCACCAAAAACAAGGGAAGTCTGAGAAATGGTCACAGCCAAGAGCAGCATAAGGAGACATATTAACTAAACACACAATATGGGATCCTGAATTGGATTCTAGAACAGAAAAAAGGCATTAGGTAAAATCTAAGGAAATTGAAGTAAACTATTGCCTTTTGTTAATAATAATATATTAATATCGGTTCCTTAATTGCAACAAAGGTACCATACTAATGTAAGATGTTAATAGGGGAAACTCTATGTGTGTGTGTGGATAACCTTCTGTATTATTGCCTTAATTTTCTGTAAGTCTAAAACTGTTCTAAAAAATAAAGTCTATTAATAAAAACACCAACTTTAAAAATACACATTTCCAGATCCACCACCCAGGTAATTCTGATGATATACATCAAAGCATGAAAACTACTTACCTAAAAAATGCTTCAAAAGCAGGAGAAGGGTTAAATTTCAGACCTGTTACTGGACCAATAATTTTTAAAAATCTATAAAGCAACCACAGCAAATATAACATATTGGTAAAATTTTCTGGAATTCTGTATTTATGATTTTTTTTTTGACATCTGTGTCCTCAGCTGAGTGGGTCAGGTGCAAGAAGCTGTCTGACACTGGAAGGCCAAGTAGACACTGGAAGGCAAAGCCCTGTGGAGAGGAGGTGAGGGAAACGTGTGGGTTCCAAATCTCCTGCGGTTGCCTATTTCTTCCTACAATTTAGGGGTTATACACAGCTAGTGGGATTATTTGTTACTGTATGAGATTTGTTTTAAAAACTGTCATGAACAGTATGTAATAATAAAAATACTCCTGACTTCCAGAAGTCAACAATTTTCATTTTTCTTCACTGGCTATTGATTATTGAATGACAAGATAATAAAAACAAAAGCTATTGGAAGAAATAATTGGCTAAGCATCCTCTCTTCCCTTGGATAAAAGCAACCTATACTTTATTCCTCTGAAGTTTAGTAATGGAAGACGATCATCTAAAACTCATTCTTTAAAAACAACAACAACAACAACAAAACAAGCAAATAGGTAAGCTGTGTTAAAACTGTAGGATAGATAAGCATGGGTCCTTAAGGATGGAAACATCTGACTTATGAATGCCTTATCCATACAAAGGTCAACCTATGCTTATCACCAAATCTAAAAGACAGATGTCCCCAAGACAGGGAGTTCTATCCTCTTGCAAACCACGTGGCCTGTGGCCAATAAGCCTCCACAGCAGTGATTCTCAAAGTGTAGTTCCAGGACTGGCTGCCTTAGCATCACCTGGAAACTTGTTAGAAATGCAAATGCTGGGGTCCCATCTCTACCTTAACCACTTCTGGAACTCTGGAGTGGGGTCCAAAATGTGTGGGATAACATCCCCTCCAGGTAATTCTGATGCACTAGAGAACCACC
The DNA here is from genome assembly GCF_000001405.40 of Homo sapiens. Taxonomy (NCBI): domain Eukaryota; kingdom Metazoa; phylum Chordata; class Mammalia; order Primates; family Hominidae; genus Homo; species Homo sapiens. The sequence continues at coordinate 85,809 of NW_017852928.1, read as the reverse complement.
AATCTAACAGATGGGAGTGAAATCCTCTCTGTATCATGAATTCCCTTCTTTCATATACTCCAGACACTGTCACCAAAGTAACAAAGAGAGTTCTAGAGGATCAGGAAAGAAGGTTATTTTCTCTTTGCCTGGAAACAATTTTTTTCACTCAAAGAATGCTTTATAAATAGAGAATAGATAGGGATCTTAGTAAGGTCCACATAAGTTTCTCTTGTCCACAACATGACTGATAGAGAATCAGATAGGGATCTTAGAAAGGTCCACAGAAGTTTCTCTTATCCACAGCATGACTGAAGTACTCATACCGATCTGATCACCATTTAGAAGGTTTGGGATCTTAGAGTTGTGGCATGTCTGTTTGCCATATCAGTAACGCTATCCCTTCTACAGGTTTGTTTGCAACAAGGGAAGTTTTGTTATAGGTGACAAAAATTCAAAGGTAAAAGGAAATCACATTTCCTCAATTTTAAGATGAGTAGTTGTTAATAAGCTAATATCTCTGAAATAAAGATGCACCTTACAATTTGGTGTACTTTCAGTGTGCTGGGTTTCTCACCAAACCCTCTAAAATGACTTTTAGATGAAAAATGTGTCTTGCACTTGACATCTTAGAACTGAGGAAATGTAGTAGTCAGAACGTCATTGAGCAATGGGCTTGCTGTCTGATGCACATAGAAGCCAATGATATGGCACCAGTTTTTGAGGAAAGAAAAGATTTGTTGTGAGGTCCACCTATAAGAAGACAGGAGGATAACTCAAATCTGTCTCTCTAATCTGGGATTTGCAGCAAGTTTTATCACTTAAGGAGGGTAGATTGGTATGCAGAAGCACTGGCAGGGGAGGTTTTTATTATTGGAGGATCTTTAAGTAACTATTTATGGTAAGGCAAGGGGAAGGGTCTTATCAGTGAACATTCCTAGAAAACGAACTGCTCACTTTTGAAAGTGTTTAGGTGCTTGAGTTCCAGCCACATCCCAATCTTTTAGTTCTGCGGTAGGGACTTTGGTTCTAGGTGTTATTTGAGGTCGAAGTTTTCTTCTGTGCATGCTCTGGCTGTGTTAACTTGCCACTTCTTAACTCTGTGCCTGCAAAATAACTAGACATTCTGTTAGTAACAGAGTTTGGCCAGATAAGACTAGCCCAACAGTTGCAAGAACATGCTCTAGGAGGTAAAGGCAAAAGCCTCTGAATCATTTCCCCCTGTGAATCCGGTGAGGACAGTGAGGAAGCAATTTTACTTTCTCATCAAATTCTAAAGATGATACATTTAATATCTACCCTTCTTTAGTTAAAAGACTTCTGCTTTCAGGAAAGACAAAGTAATAAGGACTGTAGTTAACTCCTGTCTGAAGCAACTAGAAAACCAGACAAAATATGTGAAACAGCAGTTTTCAAAATGTTGAGACATCAGGCAACAAAGAAAAGTGATCACTGAGACATGGAAACAACACAGCTGAGCCCTGGGACTATCCCGGTGGATGTCTAAGTGTCTCTAGGCTGCGACACAGGTGCCCAGGAGGGCACAAAACTGCCTTCTGGAGTGGACAGGAAGGTTCCACGCCATGGTGGTGGTAACATGGTGATTTGGAGTTATAATGTGTTTTTGTTCATTTGGAATATATTTAAAATAATTAGGCAACTTGATTTTTAAATGTATGATATAGAATATCAAGGTATTGATCAGGATTAGATGTATTTAAGTATTGCCATTTTTAGGAAAGTGGTGTTCTATCAATGACTTAATCATTCTAGGTTTTTGCCCAGCTGCAGATGGCTTGAGAGAACTGCCTGGTTACAGCTGATGGTGAGTTACAGTCAGTGTGAGTGTGCGTGGGCATGCACACTCAGTAAGCAGGCAGCAGCTGTTTGGTTAGAGAACGAAACTGGCCAATTGGAAACTATGGTATTATTTCTTTATGCAGACCTTACTCAGAACCTCCTGGCTTCTGCAAGATTGGTCTGTGTTGTGAGTGAAGAGGTATGGACAAGATTCTACCTTATGGAAATGAGGCTCTTTGACTTGGTCTCTCCAGTTGGACTGAGCCACACATGGTTTTGAATATGCTCTTGACCTCACCATGAAAGATGTTGGAGAAATGTGGAATGAAGCTGCTACTCAATTGCATCTGCAGCATATCAGGGAGTGGTCACTGTAGAGGGTAGAAGAAAGCATGTGTTAAATTGGGAGTCAGTAGACCCGGATACCAACAATGATCATCACTAGCCTGCAACTAACTAAAAGCTGAGTGATCTTGGGCAAATTAATGACCTGAGACCTGGACCCCAGTCCAAACCTGGTACATCAGAATTCCTTGTTTTGGTACTTGAGTATCAGTAATTATTTAAAAGCATCTAGGTGATTTTAATGTGCATCCCGGAATAGTATCCACTCACTAATAACTGATCTAAAAGCTCCCTTCCAGACCTTGAAATACAAATTGAAGTCTAAATTTTGGCAGATGACAGATCATTGGCTGCCCCAGCTCCTTTCTCTTCCAATGCTTTATTTTTTCCTAATTTCTTTTCTAATCATTATCATTTACTCCCACATTTGCAGACGTTTGTAACCTTAAACCCAAAATGTGGAATGATACATCCATCTGAGGTCAGCACTTTCTACCTCCCAGGACTAGCTGGAACAATATATCAGTGTCTTATCGCTCTTTTCTTATTATTTTAATTAACTTCCTGCTATTTAAAAATTGGGCTGGCAGTGTACCCTCTCTAGGCTCAGTTGCTCATTTCTAACAGCTGGTTATCATCCTAATTAGAATGAGTGTTGGCCTTTTCAGCCCCATAATTTAGGGTGCAGCGGCTGCCAAGTTGAGGTCAGTTTTGTTTATGGGATCTGAAACTTGCCAGAGTAACTTTGATGGCTAAAACCTTGTATAGTTTCCTAAGCCTACTTCTACATTCTTTTTTTTTCTCAGTACTTAGGGGATTGGCTGTAACCAGGTGTATTAAAAGCTTAAAAATTCAGCCAGGTGTGGTGGCTCACGCCTATAATCCCAGCTCTTTGGGAGGCTGAGGCAGGTGGACTACCTGAGGTCAGGAGTTCGAGACCAGCCTGGCCAACATGGTGCAACCCCATGACTACTAAAAATACAAAAAATTAGCCAGGTGTGGTGGTGGGCACCTGTAATCCCAGCTACTCAGGAGGCTGAGGCAGAAGAATCACTTGAACCTGGGAGGCAGAGGTTTCAGTGAGCCAAGATCGCACCACTGCACTCTGCCTGGGCAACAAGAGTGAAACTCAGTCTCAAAAAAAAAAAGCTTAAAAATTCCTCAAAATAAATTACTGAAAGCATGAAAACACGATAACAAATATCCCACGGCAATGTTATTATTACTATTTCATAACATCCAGGGTATAGAATCATAGGCTCTTAGGAGGGGATTTATATGGTCATCTACTTTTTGCCACCTAAAATTCCTTCTATAATATCACCGATGAGCATGTACCTGTCTTCCAAACAATTCTAGTGACTATAATTTGTGACTATGTTCACTCATTAATGATTTGTTTCTCCTAAGCATTTATTTAAATTTCGATATTTCAGATATTTATGCTAAATTCAAGGATTACACCAGTTTAGGAAAAGAAACCAGGATTTATGTTCCTGCAATTATTGGGGGAAGCAGACAAGATAACAACTATAACAATACAATGAGACAAGTGCTCTTATAGATTTTTCTGGGAGCTTCCAAGCTGGGAAATAATTAATTTGCTTGGGGCTGATGGTGGGAGTGAGAGGGAGAAATTTCAGGAAAGTTTCACAGAAAAAACTTAAAGCATGCATACATTTTCAGGCAGAATATAGAGTGGAAAGAGGGTAACCTCTCACAATTACAACCCCACTTTTATCCTTGGTATTCATCTAATTACTTCTCTTTCTGTCTCCCTAAGACAAAGAACAGTATACATCTTCGTTACTCAAAGTTATGGTTTGTGGATCAGCAGCCTTGACATCATCTGGGAGGTTGAAAGAAATGTAGAATCTCAGATCCCATTTCAGATCTACTGAGGCAGTAGGTGCATTTGAATAAGATCCTCGGGTAATTTATATGTACATTAAAGTTTGAGACACACCAAGCTATGGCTTGTGCCTCTATTTGCTTTCTTCCCATTCAGTCTTTTAAAAATTTTTCCTATTTTATATTTAACTAGTACATACATATGGTTTAATAGTCAATTCTGCAAGGCTCATAACAAAAAATGGCAGGCCCCTTTTTAACTCCTCCCCATCCCTACTAACAAATTCCTAGAATCAATCAACTTTTACATCTTTAACTATTTCTTCTAGTATTTACCTCCAATTCTGAAATAAAAATAATTATATTACTCTTTATATGTTTATCCATTTTAAAACTAACCTGTACTTTTCACAGCAGGTGAGAACTTAACTTTCTTATACTACCACTTTGACTTATCTATCCCCTGTTTCCAACATAATTATAATTTTGATTAAACTAATATTTAGTGTTTTAGTGTTATGACTATAAACCTTAGTCATTAAACCAAGTAGAGTACCCTTTTGTGTTTTTCCTGTAGTTATTGCCTTCCTTTTTTGTTTAGATTTTTTATGTACCTGTCTTTTTTTGTTTGTTTGTTTGTTTGTTTTGTTCTGTTTTTGTATTTTTTTGAGATGGAGTCTCGCTCTGTCACCTAGGCTGGAGTGTATGCAGTGGCACGATCTTGGTTGACTGCAACCTCTGCCTACCGGGTTCAAGTGATTCTCCTGCCTCAGCTTCCCGAGTAGCTGGGACTACAGGCATGCACCACCATGCCCAGCTAATTATTTTGTATTTTTTGATAGAGATGGTATTTCGCCACGTTGGCGAGGCTGATCTTGAATTCCTGACCTCAAGTGATCCACCTCTGTTGGCCCCCCAAGGTGCTGGGATTACAGGCATAAGCCATTGCACCAAGCTGTACTTGTCTTATATCTAATTCTTTCTTATCTTTCCAAAAGAACTATAAAATTCCTGTCAACATAGTCATACTATGTTATCAGTTTCATTTGTTTTCCTTAAAGTCTTCTCTTAAATTTCCTCATCCCTCTGTTCTAATTTGGGTTGGCTGCTATATAGGCAAGTAATATAGCTGTTATCCTAGGACTTTCTAATGTCATCATCCAGGAAAGTTCTTTTGTCTCTCTTCTGTCTTGAATTCTGAGTTTCTAGGATCTCATGATGTCTTCCTTTTTGGTTTAATCTTTCATTTTGTGGAGGATATCCTCCAATGACTTCCAGAGAAAGTGTGTGCCAGGTATCTGTCTACCGGTATTCAGTAGCTTTCTTGGTATTTCCTGTATGATAGAGGCTGGAAGCTTGGAAACTACATTTCCCAGAATTCCTTGCTATCAATGTTCTTGTTTAGAGTAGGTCAATGAAAGATGTTCATATGATACTTAAAAGTAGGAAGCGAGGTATGTTTAATTCTTCTATCAGAAGTAGTGACATGCAAAAGCATGGGCTTTTGCAGTGGCTGTCTTGTGTTTCAATATGCATTACTAGCAGCTGTAGCTTTACCAACAGATTTATGTGGTTTCCTGATTATTGTGTAGCATCCTCCTACCCCTCTAGCCATTTCAGCAGTATGAGGTCAGTATAGTAGATTATTTCCTGCTTGGAGTATCTATAATAGATTTTTTTTTCTAATTGAACACTTACCAAGAATGGCTTCAAGAAAAAGATCTTCAAAAATATGAATTTGGCTTAGTTATTGGATACCTCCAATAACTAAGATTTGAAGCAGTGATGATCTCTGAGATATCAGTAGTTCATGGCAAAAGAGTTACATAAATTATTACCTATACTTGCATGGAATTAAGTGCCTAATATTAAAGATATAGTTTTGGGAGACAAAGATGCTGTTGCAGTATTTGCATACTGTTGGAGTGAAGACTACAGAGACTGCGTGGTGGGCTGGATATTTCTGAGTACACTGGAGAGATTACAGAAATGACCTCAGGGTTTAAAAATGTTTGCTTAGACATTATCAGAAAACCAGAGAGCTTCTGTTGTGACTGCCTCAAAATAATATCTTATCTTTTAGAGTTATAGGACATATTAATTAATATGTGACATATTAAGAAAGAAGAGTATGTTGTGGACTGAATTATGTCCCCCTATCCATTCATGTTTTGAAGACTTAATCCCCAATGTGACTATTTGGAGATAGGGTCATTAAACAGGTAATTAATGTCAAGTGAGGTCCCAAGGACGAGGCCTTAATTCACTATTACTGGTGTCCTTCTAAGTAAAAGAAGAGACACTGGGGATGCACATGTAGAGAGGAAACACTGGGTGAGGATTCAATGAGAAGATAGCTGTCTGCATGCCAAAGACAGAGGTCTCAGGGTAGAGAGGAAAGGCTGGGTGAGGATTCAATGAGAAGATGGCTGTCTGCAAGCCAAAGACCGAGGTCTCAGGAGAAACTGACCCTATCTTGATCTTGAACTTCCAGCCTCTAGAACTGTGGGAAAATAAATTTCTGCTGTTCTAGCCAACCAGTCTGTGGTATTTTATTATGGCAGTCTTAGCAAACTAATACACACTCTTACTCATCTCATCAAAGATATCAAAGGATACTACCTTTATCAAAACATAGGGGAAAACATTAGTCAGAGGAACTCCATCTTTCTTGGAAAGCCCTCTTGTGTCTGTCCTTCAAAGCTGAGGATGATGACTGAAGATGCTACTGTAGAAATAGGCTCCTTGATTTCAGTGAGGATGAAGGATTTCAGAGTGATAGACGGTAAGTGGCAGCAGATACTGACAAGACAAGGTGGGGTGGGATTGATTAGTGATAGTTAGAAAAGTTTACCCCACACATATTTTTGATTATGGCTAATTGATCAGAGTGTCCTTAAGACTGAAATAGATGGGCAATTTTATATTTATGTAATACAATTTTACTTTATATATAAAATAGAAAAAGTTCTAAGTCATGAGTACAGGCTTAATTTTAATCACAATGGAGAGTTAATACTGTTCACACCATTTCCAGACCTCAGCCACTTCTCAAATCTGGAACCCTAGAATGGGAAGGAAAGCCTATCTCCTGGAGGAAGAATCTTCTGACATTGCTACAAGTACATGTTTTAAATATTCTACAGAGGAATTCCAAGATTTTTCTGGACTTACTGTATACTGCCTCTGAGATGACATTACTCCATAGGTCTCCAACATGTCGCTGTGGTCCCGCAGTCAGGGTGGAAGTCCATGCAGGTCAGACAATGCAGTAGATCCTATTACTATTTGTTGAATACTCCATTTTCTTTCTTTGCAGTGCCTTCAAGATGGCAGGATTCTATGATGCCATTTTGAACTCAGGAGTGTATGTGTGATTTGCTTTGGCTGATAACATGTGGGCATGTGTCATATGTCACTCCTGGACAAAAGCTTTAAGACACAGTATGTTTTCCCATGTTTCTTTTTCTTTTCCCACAAGATTAGCAATGCTCCAGATAGCAGCTACTAGCCTAGACCCTGGAGCAAAGAAGTGTAGGATAGAGCCATATCCAGCCCATGATGGACATGTAATATGGACAAGAAATTATCTTCTGTTTTTATAAGTCACTGATATTTGGAGTTATTTGTTTTTCTACATAACATAGATGATTTTGACTAATGCAGGTGTCAATTGCCCCAAGCCTCTATCATGGTGGGTCCAATAGGTTCACAGATCTAACTAGTGGTTTTTCCCCAGGACCTGAATGGAAAGTTAGAATAGGCATACTAAGCAACTAGCAAAATATTCACTCTGACTTGTAGTTTAAGATTTATTATAGTAGAAAGGACAAATTTATAAACCAAAGCAATACTGAATCCTCAAGAGAATAGCAGAGATTAAGGTTGCCATTAACGATGTGCAAGATGCATGGCTGGTGATTCCTATTCTTCATTTATTGTCTGTTTGGCCTGTGCAAGAAGACAGATGGATCTTGGATAATGACAGTAGGGTATCCAAAATGTAATCCGATAGTGACTCTAATTGCATCGATTGTTCCTAAAGTCTTATCTTTGCTAGAATCAATTAGTATAGCCCCTCACATCTGCTAGTGATCTGGAAAATGCTTCGTTTCTCCAAACCGAATAGCAGAGACTAGTAGAGCAGTTGGCTTTTACCTGGCAGGGACAGTAATGCATCACTCTGTCTTTTTTGCTGATTGCTTCCCCAGATCCAATGCTGCATTCTCTACCTTCCAATCTTGAGTCTGGACCTCTCTTGGTTCTCTAAAGAAGAATGACTCTGCCTCTACTTCTGCTGCCTCTGGTATTCCACTTCTGGGAATTTTCTTTGTTCATCTATTGTTTCCTAACTCTGGCTATATGTTAATATGATTAGACTCACTTTGTCAGAAACTCTATCAAAAACATCTGTCTGATGCCACATTGTTTTACTTCATCACATCTATAAATTTATTCTTTTTGGGGTCATGTGGTAGAGAATTTTGTTCACCAGAAGTTCTCCAAAAAGATTTGAAAATTTGTTAGAGTGAGAAAATTATACTTCCTAGGAAGCTCCACACATTTTCTTCTTGAGGAGAAAAGTGAAGAAACATTGTATTTTCCAGAATTCTGAAGCTATCTGATGCAGCTCACGGAGAAGAATAAAAGTTTCTATTTGTAACTGTTGCTACTTGTAAGTGTATAGTAGGGAGATATTATAGTAGTATGTGGGGAATGGAGGAAGGATAAGAATATGAGGGGTAAGTATCTGGGAGATTTGGGACACACAAACACACACACACACAGAGTACTGCTGCTACAGGGGAGAAGATATAGAAGAAGATGGAAAGAGGTTATTGCAGGTATTTGCTGTGACCTAAGAATGCACTTCTTACTATATGGTTGGGATTTTTTTTTCATTAAGGAAGACACCATGTTAAAGCTATAATTTGGGGCACAGATGTTTATTTGGGTTATATTTGTATATCTTTATTCTATATCAATGGTATCTGATGGAGAGGAAATCAAACATGTGCCCATTCTGCTCTCTTGAACTATTTTACTTTGAGGACCACTCTCCTTTATTATAATATTTAACATGCTTATCTTAATTTAAAAAATTGAACATCATTCTTTATAATGAATCTGGAAGCAAAAATGGATATGTCTTCTATCATCTATTGAGATTATACCATATTAATCTCATATAGCGTATCAATATATGATCAATAATCAATATGCTATATCATATATATCAATCATACTTAATTAATTAAATATTAGTTGCCCTTAAAGTTTGTTAATTACCTATGGAAGTTTTTTACTTTCTGACACAATTTTTACAGATACAAAATTAAGGAAAAAAGCTATTTCTACCCTCACAAAGTCTATACTTATAGGTGGTTATTCCTGGTTTTATGCCTATCCTTTTAAAAAAATGTATAGTTTTGAGTCTGAGCTAATCAGACAACTTCTGTGAAATCTTTTATTTCTTTAAATGCTACTCCACTTTTCTTCCAAAAAGGATGGGATTGTGACAATTTACCTAGAATTTCATACTTGTAAAATATCTGAACCCACATGTGCCAAATTCCTTTTCAAGATCTCCAGTCATATCTATCTTTTCTCTAAAATAAAGTGTCCTGTTGTCTAAAGCCTATGGTACATGTCCAACAGTTTGCAGCTATCCTTTCTTTCACTATTACAGGCTCCAAAATGACATCGTCACTTCCTGTCACATTCAATCACCAACCACATTTCCCTTATTTCTTGGAATTAGGTATGGAGTATCAGTTCCCTTTGTGGCTTCCTGTGCATCCCAAGAGATGATATTACCAGCAGGGCAAGTAAAGAATGAGTCTGATACTTGGTTTTCAGTAGAAAAGGACTTTTAGAAACTGTTGATGTCATTAGGGTTCATTAGTACAGTTGAACTCTGCCATGGATTTTTTTCTTTTCTTTTTAACTCATATTTTAGGTTTAGGGGTACATGTACAGGTTTGTTATATAGGTAAATTGTGTGTCAGGGGTTTGGTGTATGGATTATTTTCTGACCCAGGTAATAAGCATAGTACCCAATAGGTAGTTTTTTGATCTTCTCCCTCAAGTAGGCTCCATGTTGTATCTGTTGTTCCCTTCTTTGTGTCCATGTGTTCTTAATGTTTAGCTCCCACTTATAAGTGAGAACATGTGGTATTTGGTTTTCTGTTCATGCATTAGTTTGCTTAGGATAATGGCCTCCAGCTCCATCCATGTTGCTGCAAAGGATAGGATCTTGTTCTTTTTTATGGCTGCATAGCATTCCAATGTGTGTATGTATCACATTTTCCTTATCCAGTCTACTATTAATGAAAATTTAGGTTGATTCCATGTCTTTGCTATCGCGAATAGTGCTGTGATCAATATACATGTGCCTGTGTCTTTACGGTAGAATGATTTCTATTCCTTTGGGTAGATACCCAGTAATGGACTTACTGGGTCAAATGGTAATTCTGTTTTACGTTTTTTTAAGAATTCACCACACTGCTTTCCACAATGGCTGAAATAATGTACACACCCACCAGCAGTGTATAGCATTCTCTTTTCTCTGCAACCTTGCCAGCATCTGTCACTTTTTGACTTTTTAATAATAGCCACTTTGACTGGTGTAAGATGGTGTCTCATTGTGGTTTTGATTTGCATTTCTCTAGTGATTAGTGCTGTTGAGCACTGTTTCATATGATTGTTGGCTGTGTTTATGTCTTCTTTAGAAAAGTGTCTGTTCATGTCCTTTGCCCACTTTTTAATGAGGTTGTTTTTTGCTTGCTGATTTGTTTAAGTTCCTTATAGATTCTAGATATTAGACCTTTGTTGGATGCATAGTTTGCAAATATTTTCTCCCATTCTGTAGGTTGTCTGTTTACTCTGTTGGTATATTCTTTTGCTGTGCAGAAGCTCTTTAGTTTAATTAGGTCTCACTTGTCAATTTTTGTTTTTGTCGCAATTGCTTTTGGCCTCTTTGTCATGAAATCTTTGCTAGGGCTGTGTCCAGAATGGTATTTCCTAGGTTATCTGCCATGGTTTTTATAGTTTAAGGTTTTATATTTAAATCTTTAATCCATCTTGAATTGATTTTTATGTATGGTGTAAGGAAGGGGTTCATCTTCTGCATATTCCATTAATTTTTAATCTCTGTTAGGAAAGCAATGACTTTCACGTAGCTTGGTGTTCTATGAAGCTGCCCACGGACATTTCATTTGTATCCTTTTTGTTTTTATCCCCACCTAAATATTTCCTAATTTGTGTGTATTATCAGAATCATGGATTCCCAGATGAGGTTTCACCAGTTTACCCTAGAGTGTTGCCATTTCTCTGCCTCTTTGCTTTTTATTAATAAGATATATCCGTTCAATACTGGGTTATGCATTTCATCTCTCTAAGCTCAAGAGCCTCTCTAGTCTCTAAAATCTGTTAATATATTTCACATATCTCATTTCTCCCATGAAGACTCCTTTATTTAATATATATTTATCTCTTTTCTAACCTCTACAACACCCTCACTTATAATACACTTTATGTTTTCTAACCCTGCTGTAACAAATTACCAAAAATTTAGTGGCTTAAAACAACAGAAATTTATTGTTTTACAGCTGTAGAACTCAAAAGTCTGAAATGGGTCGGGAGGGCTATGCCTCTTATGGAGGCTCCTGGAAATAATCCATTCCTTTGCTCTTTCTAGTTTCCAGAGGCTGCCCACATCCTTTGGCTTGTGGCCCCATATCATTTCAACCTCTGCTTCTATTGTCACATCTTTTCTAACTCCGATTCTCCTGCCTCCCTCTTTTAAGTACCCTGTGAGTACAGTAATCCCACTCAAATAATTTAGAGTAATCTTCCCATCTCAAGATCTGTAACTTAATCATATCTATAAAGTCCCTTTGGCCATGGAAAGTAACAGGTTCTGGGGATTAAGATGTGGACATCGTCGGGGAACCATTATTCTGCTTACCAGAAATACTCTATACACATGTATCTATAATACATTTTAATCCATAACTGTATTTAATTTAGCTCCATTCTTTATATAATTTATAATTATTTTGGGTATGGAAGTGCCATTTTTCCTTATCAAGTATCAATCCCCTGGGGGCATATATCTGTCAGACAGCTGGGTGCATATTTACCTATTGGTTTTAGAATTTCATTCTCTTCATTGACAAATATTGTATATTTCTTTGATGTAAACACAAACACCAACACATCTTTATGTTTAATTGACTACAACAAGAATTTATTCACTCCCTTTGTTTCTCAGGTGTCTTAGTTCTCATCTTGTGATAAAAATATATAAAATCTTATAAGCCTAAGATAAAAGGCAGTCTTTATCTTTTAATCATGTTTTAGGAAAAGTCTTAATAATATTTGGTCCTTTTTGGCAACAGCTAATGGGATATTTGAATTCTGTAGCCTTTCTACATTTTGTTTTTAAACGTCTCTTGTTTGATTAACTAATTTTAGACTTTTTATTGTAAAAAACTTTCAACATATAGAAAAGTAGAAAAAATATTTAGTGAACATCCACTTATTCACAACCTAGATTAAGCAATGTATGCATATCTACATGATCTTTTTGCCAACGTATTTTAAAGTAAATTACAATTAAATAATTTTTATTCAATGCCATAAAGAAGTGAGAATTTATGTAAATTTCCTATGTTTCTTGAGACTTGTCAAGTGATGGCTTGGGTAGGAGGACACCTCAGTATATTATAAGTTTTCTCTTTTTGTAGAAGACTCTCTGGCCTTCTTTTCACCTACTAAAACAGCTGTAAACAATTTTTTTTCTTTTTTTTTTTTTTGAGATGGAGTCTTGCTCTGTCGCCCAGGCTGGAGTGCAGTGGCGCAGTGGCGCAATCTCGGCTCACTGCAAGCTCCGCCTCCTGGGTTCACGCCATTCTCCTGCCTCAGCCTCCCGAGTAGCTGCGACTACAGGTGCCCACCACCACACTCAGCTAATTTTTTGTATTTTTAGTAGAGATGGGGTTTCACCATGTTAGCCAGGATGGTCTCGATCTCCTGACCTTGTGATCTGCCTGCCTCGGCCTCCCAAAGTGCTGGGATTACAGGCGTGAGCCACCCGCCTGGCCTGTAAACAATTTTTTTTCTTTTTTAAACACATGACTGACTTTGACTAAATTTTATTTTAATAACTATGCCTTTAATATTCCTCTTAATTTTTAAACTAGTTTCCTGGAAAAAAAAAGTCACCTAATTCCATTTTATTTGGGGTCAAATCTCCTTTCAACTCACTACAACAATGCTTCATGCTAGAAGACTAAAGGGATAATTGCTTTGGTCTTGATGTTTTCTATGCTGTCACTTTTGTACCACATTTATACAAGTTTTTGGTTGCTTTATTTCTTTCCCAGAAAAGAGAACTTGAATATAATTTAACATCTACTTATGCAATTACTTTGCTCTTGTTTCTGCTAAGGGAATCGTGGGTGTTCCTCACAACTATCTCCAAGAACTTTTGGCATTATTAGAACTACTCAAAGCCAACCGTATGGATGATGAAAGTATCATTTTCTAAGTAATGAAAGCCTACTCTACTTTTACTCTATTTTTTGCTCTACTTTCTCCTTTCATAATAGCAACAAATCATCTCCCAAACTTATGTATCTTTCACTTGAAAATTTAAATTCAGCAAAAATCTCTAAGAGTTACTTTGGCTGGTAGTATGTCAAATTGTTGCTGTTACCAAAGATTTAGGTTTTCTGAATGAGCAAAGCATATTGCTTATGAAAATATCTGGGAGATAGAACTTGGCTAAAATTCTCTCTCTCTCTTTCTGTTTTTTGTCTGAAGAGCCTTGAATAATTTCAGAGGAACATTTCCTCTAAGAAAGGAATGTTTTACATTTGGGATGGTAGACAAAATGCCTTGTGAAAAGAGTTCAAACTACAGGGTTGTCAGAAGAATCTTATTGTTCTGACTCCAGTTCCTTGACACCAGCTGGATGTCCTGCAATTCAATTCCATTCTGACACCAACTACCCAGAATTAGTGTGACTCCACAATTTAAAGGTTCAGTCCCACAAAACTGCCCTTACTTCAGATGCCAGCCAGAAGCCCCGGGAGCCATCCCTATTTCTGACAACCAGCTATATATTTGAAGGGTCCCACAATCCTCCCAAGTTTGATAATTTGCTAGAACAACACACTCAACTGACTAGAAGCATTATACTTACGATTTTATTATGAAGCATACAGATCAGGAACGACAACTAAGAGATGCACAGGGCAAGGTCTTGAGTGGGGGCCAACGCTAAGTTTCTATGTCCTCCCCTCATGAAATCCTGGTGTATCATCCCCCGGCTCATCAACGTGTTCACCAACCAGGAAACCCCTCCAAGCTTGGGTCCAGGGTTTTCACTGGGGATTCATTACTTAGATGTCCTTGATTAAATCACTGGCCATGTGATTGAACTTAATTTCTAGCACATCTACTTTTCCTGGAGGTCCAGTGGGCCCAAAGTCCCAATCCTCTAATCACATGATTGGTCTCTCTGGTGACCAGCCCCCATCCTGAAGCTATCTAGGTGCCTACCAAGAGTCCCCTCATCATCATAACAGACACTCCTGCTACTCAGTATATTGGTTTGCTAGGGCTGCCATAACAAACTACCACTGACTGGATTTCTTCACTAATAGAAATTTATTTTCTCACAATTCTGGAAGCTAGATGTCAGAGAACAAGAGGGTATGGGAAAGGTTGGTTTCTTCTGAGGCCTCTCTCCTTGGCTTCAGATGTCTCTTTTCTCCCTGTGGTTTTACTTGGTCTTCCCTCTGCGTATGTCTGTGTCCTAATTTCCAGTAGGACATCAGTCCTATTGGATTTGGGGCCCACTCTAATGACCTCATTTACTTCATTAACCTCTGGAAAGACCCTGTCTACAAATACAGTCACATTCTCAGGTACTGGTTAGGACTTCAACACATGAATTTTGTGGGGTGGGGCGGGGACATAACACTGGGGAAATGCTAAGGGTTTGCAAAGCTCTGTACCAGAAACCAGGGACAAAGGCAGGATATCAGCTTCATTATTCCACAGTATTCTTCACACATTCCATTTGCACATCTCCTTCTGAGAAACACCCTTACAATTTGGCCAGTAATGATGTGCTTGAGATGAATGCAAACCAAGTGGTTGTGTTTTGCTGCCTAGGGAGAGGTGGGGCAGACCACCTCTCTGGAGGTGACACGTTGCCTGCTCCTGTAACTCATATTCTGAAGCCCCTGAGAAGCATCACATCTAATTCCATGAACAGGACCATACTGAGAGGCTGCTGAAGCAGGGACTCTTTTGTTTTGGGATCCTCTTTCTGCTGTTCATTTCTCTACTTCTCAGCATTTACACATCCTTTCTCCCAACCCAGACTTTCTCCTCTCCCCACTATTTAAACAAAGGTTTAGGAATAATCTTGTTCGTATTTAATCTGAGCATGCATTTAAATCAACATGTTACCTCTCCCTAAGATATTTGTATTAAAATCTTATTTTCTTACTCCTTGTATGCTTGAAATTACTCCCAGGTGAACCTCTTGTGCGTAAGGTTTGTGCTCCCTACAAGGGAAGTAATAGATAATACTAGGATTTTATTTTCTCCCATCAGAAGTTATTTTGAATCTGAACCTATCAACTGTAGGATCAAAAAACTCCTTAAATTCATTTCAGCTTTTCAGTATATCCATACCTTGTCAAAGTACAAATGCCATTCTTTTGATAGAAAATACGTCCATGTTGTTTGTTACAAACTCTGAAAACCTTAGTTAGGTCTTGCTTTCTCTTCAGCTGTTGACACTTTTGATTCCTGAGGGCAGACAGCTTGTTGGGAAACAGCAGAGAGGAGGAGGCAGGAAATGGGGTTGGGGGTGGGGCTGTTCTCTTATTAGTTTCCCAGGGTGAGACAGGCAGCTGAGCTTGACTTAAAGAGTGTCACGGGATCATTTCCTTTTAGAACTGGGAGAGGAGAAGGGCACACACACTCCCCAGTGCATGGGGTCTAAGTAGTAAAATAAAAGTAGGAATACAACATTCTAATATGGCTAATAAACATATACTTACGTGTCTATAAGATCCTAGAGGGAAAGGGGTAAACTAGTTCTAATATGGCTAATAAACATATATTTACATGTTTCTAATATGGCTAATAAACATATACTTACATGTTTATAAGATCCTAGAGGGAAAGGGGTAAACTAGGCCTAAATGCAAATTTAGTTTATTCATTCTGGCTTAATTATTTGAAGGAATAATTTTATCTTGATGCTAATTCAGAAACGTGGCAGCCCATGGTCTCTTTCATATAACATCTTGAGAACGCAGAGAAAGAAGCCAGATTATTTTTCTTTTGCATGAGTTCATTTTTTTCCACCTAATTCAACAAACATTTATAAAGAAAATTCTGCATGCCAAGCACCTGGTAAAAGTAAGCTGTCTTGTTTAAAGTAGATGGTCTAGAAGTTATTGAAGAAATTCTCTCTCATCATAAAAAGTGAGCGTTTTATTAGTTTTAAGGATCTCAGTAATTATCCAGAGGAGATAAGTCATGTACTTCTGTCCTTATCTATAAAATCAAATGTTTTATCTAGATGATCTTCAACTTTTTTCCAATTCTAAAATTCTAGGATTCTGTGGTCTCTGCCATGATTTCTATACCCCAGAGAATGAAGTTCAAATACAACTGATGCTTATAGGGTGGAATTCTTTCCCAACTGAAAAACTCATAAAACAAGTGAACCTGATTTTTCAGTATTGCACTGAGTTGTAAGATGCTGGTCTTAGGCAGCATCTTAAATCAGGCGGTAGCTGGTCATAGTTACTGTTTCTTAATATAGATGTCAAGACTTTTGGTCATTTCTGCAAGATCATGGAGGGGGCTAGTCTTAGGATGGCTTTCTTCCCCAAACAACTCTTAATGTCTGCCATGAGACCAGAATTGCCATAATTAGAAAGGTATTCCTGTTGCTGAAAGCATGCCCTCTATACAGCCCATATCAAGATATGAGTAACAGACTAGAAGTTTCTGGGTTTTTCCATTGAATCAGTGAGGATGCTTTTGGCTGTAAATATCAGAATATCCAACTAAAAGTGACTTAACCAATAAAGCATTTATTTTCTCCCATAGTGCCAGAATTGGTTAATTGGACTACAGGTCAACTTCTTTCATATTTCTTGATTTTCCCTTCATGGGCACAAAAGGGAAATCTGCTACAAGCATTGCGTCCTCCCATGATCATGTCCAAAGAAAGAAAGGACAGTTTGTCCCCATGCAGCTCTTTTTTTTAACTTTTATTTTAAGTTCAGGGGTACAAGTGCAGGTTTGTTACATAGGTAAACTTGTGTCATGGGGGATCGTTGTACAGATTATTTCATCCCCTAAGTATTAAACCTAGTACCCATTACTTGTTTTTCTTGATCTTCTCCCTCTTCCCACCCTCTACCCTCCAAAAGGCCTCCATGTGTGTTGTTCCCCTCTATGTGTCCATGTGTTCACCTAATTTAGCTCCCACTTATAAGTGAGAACATGTGGTATTTGGTTTTCTGTTCCTGCATTAGTTTGCTAAGGATGATGGCCTCCAGCTCCATCCATATTGCTGCAAAAGACATGATCTCATTCTTTTTTACGGCTGTATAGCATTCCATGGTGTATATTTACCACATTTTCTTTATCCAGTCTATCACTGATGGGCATTTAGGTTGATTCCATATCTTTGCTATTGTGAATAGTGCTGCAATGAATATTCATGTGCATGTGTCTTTATGGTAGAATGATTTATATTCCTTTGGGTATATACCCAGTACTGGGATTGCTGGGTCAAATGTTATTTCTGTCTTTAGGTCTTTGAGGAATTGCTATACTGTCTTCCACAATGGCTGAACTAATTTACACTCCCACCAACAGTGCATAAACATTCCTTCTTCTCCATTACCAGCTCCTGATTTTTTTTTTATTTTTTCCATAATAGCCATTCTGACTGGCATGCAACTCTTTTTATTAGAAAGGAAACCTTTCCTTGAAGCCTCCAGCAGACTTCCTCTAATTGACTAGTAAGTACTATGTCAGATTCCTGAGCCCAAGGCTGAAGGGGCATTCTGTTAGCCACGGAGGGAGTGGAGGGAATACATCGAGGAGGCAGTCAATCATCTTTGCCTCATCTGTTGTGGCCAATATCTTGAGAGCAGATCTAATTGGAAGTGAGGGTTTGCAAGGTATTTTGTCCATATGTATAGATGTATGGGGTTCCCCCTTCTTCACACTTTTAACCCACTACCCTTAATTTTCAGGGGTCCTGGGTAGCCACTGGTAAAGCTGAGGTTAAGCCTGTGGATGGTGTGATGTAAAAGCAAGGGACCGGGATTCATATGGAGGGAACTGGACTGGGGAGGCCAGGTGGATGTTGGTAGCGAGGCTGAGGCTAATGCCAAGAAAGGCTGCAAGCCAAGCGGCATCGGTGAGTGGGAGTTCTGTGGCCCTCCATTCTCTGATAGACAGTCCATGTGACTCTTGCTGAGCATCAAGGACATTTTTAATAGCTTCCTGTGAAAGCCTGGACCAGATTGCAGCTCCACTGACATATAACACATCTATAGAATATTTCATCTCAGATAATTAACCAGAAAGTATGTAATTATCTTAATTCTCTGATCTATCGCCCTGGGTGGATGATCCAGATACAAATAATGGTCTTTTGACTTCTGATGTTGAACTTGCTCTCTTGGGATTAGAGATCAGCAGAATGGGTGCCATTCTATTTAAAAACCTATTTTAGTATTACTATAACAGGTAATTAACTTGCTCATATAATTTGGTCAAGTTCAGTCAAGTTTTTGACTTAAAGTTATTGTACAGGTTAGTATAAGAGTGCTTTAATGAGAACACAAACATTCCAGAATGAAAGGTTGGAAGGATTAAATGCAATATGCAAGAGAGGCTGCTTAGCGTATTTCCTGCCGCATAGTGGGACTCAAGAAGTGTTAGTTTCCTTCTCCTAGTTGGATTTCTTTCCTAATTACTATTTCCCCAAAATAAAGCAACATTGTTTCCCCTTCTATTTTGGAGCTTCCCTTACTCCCACCTCAAAAGAGCAGGAAACATATACCCAATATTCTAAGACAAGGTAATATAAAGTGGAAATATAGAGGGATGGAAATGGTTCTTTTATCATGCACTGAACACATGTAATGCATGTGTCAGGGATTCCAAGATGAATTAAGACACAGCTTCCTATCTGAAGGGAGGTCACAGTCTAGAGCAGGAGACCCAGAGAGAACTAATCTGAGGACAGAAACTGCACAGGGTACAGCTGAGCACTTAGAAGGAGCACCTAATTTACACTGGTGGGGGCGGCCAGGGAGACACATAAGGGACATCTTCCCTGAGGAAATGATTCCTAGCAACCATGCTTGCCCCTCAGGACAACTGCTGACCCAAAAGGGAGGCTGAAATAGAAGATATCTATTTTTCTAGGAGTCTTGAAAATATAAAATCCAAACTATAAAAACCCTAGAAGGAAATCTAGGCAATACCATTGAGGACATAGGTACAGGCAAAGATTTCGTTAAGAAAATGTCAAAAGCAGTTGCAACAAAAGCACATTTTATTACATTGCTCTCTGCTATCATGTTTAGTTGGTAATATTTTCCAAATTAAATTTAGGTTAATGTCCTTTGATGAACCTATTAATCAGTATAGGCCTAGAGGATCTCAAATGCTTTGAGAGGAATTAACCCTAGAAACTCAACTTCAAAACTCATAGATTATGTATACAGGGCTGTTTTGGAACATCTGACCATTTTAAGGGTGGAAATGATGTGTGTTGTAGGCAAGCATGAGTCAGATAAATGACAATAGGACTGGGAACTGGCTGCAGAGGCTTCAATAGTACCTGGAGTTCTGCAGAGAGAGATCCCCTTGCCAAAGTTCTGTTTGGAACCATGAGCCCAATTAGTTTCCTTCTTCTCATCCCTGTGATACCTGGCCAGCACCAACAATGCAAGCCATCTGAACCCGCATCCTCTCATGTACTCTTATTCCCATGTTGTTTTGTGCATTTTAGCGCCTGACTCATCCTCCCACTGCTTTGCTTTCTGCCAGCCTTTCCAGTGCGTCCTCTGGGATCCCATTCAGTTGTAAACTTCCCACCCCCACATATACTTGTCACAGAACATTCCCTCTACTTCCTCATCTTAACTGAAACCCAGCTCTTCCCCAGGACAAGGTTCTCAAATAGAGGTTGCCCTTTCTTCCAGGTCCCACAGACCAAACAGCTGGGTAGTAACGGCAGCATTCTCCTAGCTTCCCTCTGCTACTTGGCATTTTTCCACAGTTACTTGCTTGCAAAACCTTCTCTTTCACATACCCACACAGACACACAATATAATAATAAATAGAATTACGAGAGCAAATAATTTCCAATTCCAGGACTATATCCGATATATAAAAAGGGGTATGTATGGTTGCCTTAAATGGATTTCTTTCCAGGGTTCACAAAGTGTTCATTGCTGAATTCCAAGGCAGGTGAATGCAGAGGTGAAATTGCCTTATCCATTATTTGTGACCTTGGACAGGTAACTTAACCTTTCTTAACTTCTTGTAGGGGTTTTATGAGAAATAAATGAGACACTGCATGCAAAGGGCTTAGCACAATGCTTGGCAGTCATCACTCCATACATGATCATCGTCATCGTATCTTCATATTATTTCTCACATGTGTTATAGCTTCCTAACTGGTCACGCTCATTACTTCTGCCCTTCCTCTTGCCCCAATACGTTCTCTATGCAGCAGCCAGAAAGTCAAAAATTCAAACCAGATCCTGTCACTTTCCTGTATAAGGCCCTTTCCCCATCACTGCTTTCTCATTGCACTGAGGATAAAACCAAACCCAAACCCCTTGCCATGTTCTACAAGGAAGGTCTTTCAGACTTGGCATTGCCTGCTCCATGACCCCCCTCCCTTCACCTGCACTCCTTCCTATGCCCAGTCCCACTGGCCTGCTGGCTGCTCCTTGAATTCCCCACTCTTGTTGCTGCCTTACCACTGTTGACCCTGTTTGTCCCCACCTGGAATGTTCTGCCCCTGATCTCTCCATAGTCAATTTCTTCATATCATTCATGTCTCAGCTCAAATGGCATCTCCTGAGTCTTCCCTGAACACCCAATCGAAGTGACACACCTGGTAGTTATAATTTCATCAGCTTGTTTTATTTTCTTCATGGCACAAACTGTGTATTTATTGGATTTCGTGTTTATCATCTCTCTGCACTGGCATATGATCTTCCTGAGAGCACACATTTTGTGTCTTGTTTAACACTAATTCCCAATGCCTAGAGAAGAGAGCAACACATAGTATTAGGAACTCAAGAAGTATTTGTAGAATGAGTAAATGATTGATTGAATGGGCTTGATAATTACACCCTATTCAAAGACAGGCCAGGCTCCTTCCAGAGTTCAAAGTGCTTTGGTTGAAAAAAGGCCCAGAGTGCTAACAATGAAATTTGACACCATTAGAATGTTTCGGCCTGCCAATTTCTGAGCTGATTTTCTTTACACTTAAAGAATCACAGATTGAATGGCATTTCTCTGGGACTTGTGGGGTCTTGAAAAACTCAAAGGGGGCCATAGCTTGATGGGACATCAAAAATAACTACATCAAAGAAGCAAAGCAGAGGCACTGTGCAGCAAACACAATTAATGAAGAGCCATATAAACCACTCTAGGGAGAAAAAGGGAGGGGAGAGGGTCTGCTCTCATTCTTCCTGTGCACGCATCTGACATAAGCGTCACTTGTAAGTCACTTGTGGAGCACTCGCTGCTCTTTCAGAAGCCTAGGGTACTTTGCTTCCCAAGGCAGCCATTCCTTTCCTTCTCAAATTCAATTAAATCAGCCCTAATGAGTGGCTGCACACAATGAGAGTTCTTGTTTACATAACGCAGGGAATAATAATGAGCCAACATCAATTAGGATTGTTACGGCAAATCAGAAAAATTGATTTGCCGCCTCGACAGCAGGCAGATTTCTGCTTTCAGAAACTAAGTCTCAGACTTGAACCTCAAGCTCCCTCTTGCAGAGAGAGAGGCTGTGGTCTCTGTTCATTGCTGTGAAGCAGACATTTAAGAGCAGAGTACCACTAAGTTTTTCCTTTGTTCTACTACTGGCTTGTTTCAATTTAGCCAATCATGATTCACTATTTTTCTGGCTGTTGCCACTACTGAGTTTTCTGAATAAACACAGACAACCAAATTTTAACCACATTGATAAAATACTGCTTTTTTTTTTTTAATCTGTAGGCAAAGGGCCATGGCAGTAGTCAGAGGGTTTTACATGCAGATCATGTTTATCCTTTGATCATCTGTCATTTTGTTAGAAGAAAGCATATGCCATCCTTTGCTCTGTTTTTAAAATAGATTCGGAGGAAGTGAGGAATTAATCTTAACCTTAAACACATTGAGCCCAGTATTTCCTATCCAACTGTAGAATGCACTATCTAGTTTCCTACACCTCGCCCTTGCTAAGTTTAGGTTCTTCGGGCCAGCTGTTAAGAAGGAAAAGAAGGGGGAGGGGAGCAGTGCTTTAGATGGGCAAGGCATTTCACTGACCATTATCAATCCTGGCGTATTTCCTCACTCCTCCATCCCCCATTCCCCACAGTGACAGAACCAAGCGAGACCAGAGCCAGTGACCCTTGTGATTTTTCAGACATTTGTTCCCAAAAGGGATTGGCATGAATCTCTTTCTCACTGTGTTCCACTTTGGCATTATGTGCTGTGCTATGAACACTGAAAATTAGCCCATCAACAGTGCATATCTTGACCATCTCAGTACTCTCTAGAAAAGCAAAGTCTCACCTTACTTTTTAAGTGTTGTTGCCACGAAAGGAAGCTGGGTATCATCCACTCACCTCCTCCCCACAGCAGGTAGAGCAGCAGGATGCAGGAGCAGCAGCATTTGGAGAATTTGTCTTTTAAGATTCTTCTTCATTAGATTAACACTACTCACATGACTGATTTGCAGACAATCCAGTCAACATTCTTCAACTTTTAAGGACAATTAAACATTAGCTATTGTAGATGGTGGACACTTAGAGGCTATGTGTCTTCGTCTTGACACGCTCAGTGCTGAACACCCTGACCTGGCTCATGAGGACGGTTCAATAAATGCTTCTTGAATTGAACTTGTGTTAGTATCTAAGTCCCCCTTCCCAGTGCATTTCAGTGGAGGGGTTGCTCTTGCCCTGTTTTTTTTCACCCTCTTCAGCCTGCTGCCTACTCATTTCCTATGCCTATTGCCTGGACACCGCCCTTCCTCTGCCAGAGCAGGCTTCTGCTTTCCACATAAGTACAGACAGAATCAGAGCACACTTGGCAATATCTGCATGCTGCTGGGTCCCACGACACAGAGACATGGTGAAGCCTAGTGACAATGAAATGAACAGTGTAAAGGAAGACTAACTAGGGAAAACATGTATCCAATGAAATCAACATTTACATTTTCCCTTTTTAATAAAAATTTTAAAACAAAAGGTAGGAGAGATTAATACAATGAACACTCATGTACCCATCATCCAGCTTCAACAACCATCAACATTTTTGCTAATTTGTTTTATTTATGAACTCTTCCAATTCTGTGTGTGTGTGTGAGAGAGAGAGAAACCAGTGAGACTTTGCCTTTACAGTGTCCTATATATTCCCCTATATTTAAGCAAAAATAAAATTTCATAAGGAAAAACGTTATTGTTGAGTCTTTTGTTGTGATGCCCTATTTTTAGGTCCTGGGACTACAGGTTCCAGAATGTTTCAATTAAATGCTAGTAATGCTGAAAACAGCCTTTTCCAAGGCCTCCTGTCCCCTGCATCAGTGGAGTTCAGCCACTTCCTTCTGTTTGATAGAATTCTTAGACGTGTCCCTGGTGGCTGCTGGTGGAACTCCTGCTGCTTTGTTGGTCTGCCTGCTGCTGGCACCCACACGCTGCAAGTACAAGCTTCCTTTGGTCATTTGAGACTATTGGAGCTCAAATTTTTCTTAATTGCTGTATTTTCAATGAATGTCCTTTTGTCGCAGTGCAATGACCCATTTTTTTTCAACCACAGAGCTGATGGAGCTGGGCTGCCAAGTCACATCGGGGAATGACTCAGAGAAGGGAGTAGTGGGCAGCAGCCCGCACACACTATAACTTGGGCAGTGCTCATTTTTATGGAGCACTTTCATTTGATTTTGTTCTGTTACTGATGCCATTGAGAAAGATGAGGTGATATCATCTGTTTTGATTTACATGCTCATAAAATAATGAAAAATAAAATGAAGTCCAGAAAATTACCAAACCATCTCATGAAAATTACTCCTTGACCAAATGCCATTCCATGATTCCCATGATTAAGCAACGGAATTTGAATGAATCAGAAGAGAATAAGCCTTGTTTTCATTATATACATGGGGGCATGTTTGCCCCCAGGTCCTTCCCTTGTCCTTCTTTGCAGGCTGTATTTCCCTCACTTCTCTGCCACTTAGCTTCCTGTTGGGTTCAGCTAGTGGCAAGATTGAAGTACAGGAGGAAGGGGTGAGCCGGATGGATCCATTTCCTATTGTTGCTGTACCAAATTACCACAAACTTAATGGCTTAAACAACACAAATGTATTATCTTATAGTTTTGGCAGTCAGAAATCTGAAATAAGTCCTATGAGACTAAGAGTGTCAGCAGAGCTGCATTCCTTCTGGAGGCTCTAGGGCAGAACCCATTTCCTTTCCTTGTCCAACACCTAGGGGCTGTCTGCATTCCTTGGCTTGTGACCACATCACTCTAACTTCTGCACATTGTCTTCTCTAATTCTGACCCTCCTTCCTCCCCTCTTATAAGGACACTTGTGATTACATTGGTCCTACCCCAAAAATGTGGGATAAGCTCCCCATCAGAAGAGCCTTAACCTAATCACATCTGAAAAGCCCCTTTTGCCGTGTAAGATAACATATTCACAGGTGCCAGAGATTAGAATGTGGACGTCTTGAGGGGGAGATTATCCTCCTTACCACACCAGGTATTTCTCCTCCTCCATGTTCAATGTCACCTGGGCCCTTGGTCTCTGGTAAGTCTCCTCCTTTCTTGTGCTTATAGCCTAGGGGTGGCAGTGGCTTCCTACTATTGCCAACCTCTGGGTTGCCTCACTGTTCCCAGTTGGCTAATCTGCTTCTTTTGTCACCCGTGTAACAAATTCCCTGCATCACATTTCCTTTGTTTGAAAGGCTGAAAGTTTTCTGCTTTCCTGGTTTGGCTCTGATGAGATGAAGTGAGGTGATGATGCCGGGGTACTGGTGGTCTCCACTGGAGATTGGGGAGGGGAACACATGTGGCACCTCAGACTGTTGGGAAGTTATGTCAGGATTAACAGAGGCCCAGCCCTCCCTTTGACAAGAGCTCTTTCCCTCTCTTGCCCTCTCAGGCCAGGATGTACAAGCAAGGCAGAGCTGTCAGAAGGAGGGCTAAGGGTGAACCATCTGAGGTACACCACGACTCGAATTTAGACCTGTTCAGCATCTTAATGCAGGTAGAAATAATTCTCTCACTGAAGATTCTGTACAATGCTAAAAGACAATTAAAGAGAACCTGGCAAAAGCTTTTGTGGGAAGAGGCTTGACTTCCCAATGGAATACTTGAATTTAAGTTCTTCCATTTACCCTCTGCATGGTCTTGAACAAATCGTCTAGTCCTTCAGCCTTGAGTCTTCATATGTTAAAATAGGACAATCATACTTAACTTAAAGGTTTGATAAAGATTAAATGAAGACTGCATAAAGATTAAATGAAGCAATATATGGGGAAGTACTGAACAGACATACATCTTCTATTGGTTAAGGAATTCTAGAAATACTTATTGAGCACCTAACCATGGGCTGGATACTGTGCTAAGTCCTTGCTGTCCTGGAGTTTTTAGTCTATTGGGAAGACAGGCATTATTCAGAGTCACTCTAGTGCATCGCCATTACAGACACAGCTTCAAAGGGAAGGCTGTTTGAGGATGTATGAAAAAGGAAACCTGACTTTAGCCAGAGGCTCAGGAAAGCTCGTGTCCCCCTCCCCAGTCTCCGGTGGAGACCACCAGTACCCAGGCATCATCCCCTCACCTCATCATTCGGGGCCAAACCGGGAAAACAGAAAACTTTCAGCCTTTCAAGCAAAGAGAATGTGATGCAGGGAATTTGTTACACAGGTGACAAAAGAAGCAGATTAGCCAACCGGGGGACAGTGAAGCAACCCAGAAGATGAGCGGGACTTATCTAGGCAAAGGGATGGGGAACAGCAGGTACAAAGGACGGCTCATGTTGTATTAAAGATCTGAAATAAGCTGACATGGCTGGATCCCAAAGAGCAAGAAGAAAGCAGTGCAAGATGAGGCTGATGGGGTGAGCAGTGCCGGACATGAAGGGCTTTGTAGGGAGTTTGCTTTTATGCTAAGAGCCAGTGGGAGCTGCTGAAGGATTTTAGGGAGTGTGTCCGTGCATGTGTGTGTGTGTGTGTGTATGTATTGGTGACAGGAGATACACTGTCACTGTGACTTAGCAGATCACCACTCTGGCCACTGCATGGAGAACAGATTGGAGAGGGGTGAGAGGATGAGGGAGACCAGGTGGGAAGGGCTGGCTGTGGCATTGGTTGGAGCCTGGATGGTAGCTCGAAGTAGGGAATGTGGAGGCTGAGGGTGAAGGAGAAGGCTATCCAGGGTGAATAGTTGTGCTGTTCTTAGAGGAAAAGAGCATTGGAGAGGACCTGGATTGGAAAGGGACAATCATGAATTTGGTGTTGGACATGCTGAGGTTGAGGAGCTTTAGAGATACCCAAGGGGAGATGTTCCATTAGGAGAGGTCTTCCCTGCAGTTAGAACTTTGTACATCATGGGCTTATCCATAATAACTAAATACTTGGGTACAGATGCGATCATCTTCCAGACAAGCTCATGTGTCCTGAAGGCATATTCTGTGCCAGTCACAATTCTAAGTACTTTATTTGCGTTAACTCATTTAGTCTCCATAACTAGCTTTTGAGATATTTCCTTCATTTTGCAGATGAGGAAACTGAGACAACAGAGAGCTTCCATAACTCACTCCAGGTCAAACCAGGATCCAAACTCAGGCTGGCTCCAGGTCCCACCTCACCACACTCCCTGTCTGTTTCTCTGTCAGGGCTAATAGCTCACTCCTAGGACACAGGCAAGTTCTAATACATGGACTTTGTTGCAGAGCTGTGCCATTCATTTTCAGGGGTTGCAGGAGATGTTGGTGTTTCTAGTTGCCATGGCTTGCATAATATACATTCCTCACCTGCTGGAATCCTACTGCCCTGAGTTGCAGCTGCCAGCAGCTGCAGAATGAACACATACCAGCAGCAAGGCAAAGCACATGGAGAAGAGAGCAGGAATGAAGACAGGCACGCAGCGATGATCCTTTCAAGCAAAAACATGTTTGAAATGCCTTCAGGTGACCAGAGGGTTCTGTGTCTTTCCACAGGGAGGCTGACCCCACAATCAAGGTAACCACTGTTTATAATAAAAACTGTGGTCATTGAAGTTTACAAAGCAGGGATACTTAGCTTTAAAGTCACTCAGTAAGCTGTCTGCATTTAACCTAGAGGCTGGGAAAGTTGTGTTGCCACAGGGAAAAGTCTCACCAACTTTAAAACCCTAACAATGTGTTAGTGCAGCACGGCACCTTCAATAGGCAACTGCCTACAGCTGAATGAGTGTAGGTCCACGCCCCAAAGGGAAGGTGGAGGATGAGCCTAGGGTAAATTATATAAACTGTGAATCGGAGATTCATAGAGACGGGTTCCATGAGTGTAATGTGCTTTATCATAAGCAGGGTTGTGTCCTTTCCTGGAGTGTTGTTGCAGCTGGTAACCGTTCAGGCAAAGGCAGCTTAATGCCCCATAAAATGATTAGATAAGGATGAAGGTGGGATCAGTTTTGTCAGTCCTGTCACACAGCTGAAGAACATTAAATACAGCACACGGTGTGCAGGCTGCCGTCGCAAAGCATTCCATTTGCCCTGCATGCTTAGAGATGCATAGTGAGCCGCCTAACTTTACAAGGAACAGAACTGTGTCACCCTTTTCCTGTCTGTCATATGCCCTTTATCTTTGCCATTGGTATGTCTCACTGCCTTACAGCTACCTGCTTTTTTGCCATTGCTGAGCCGTTTGCTTAAGAAATGATTCCAGGGCCCAGAAGGCAGTTGGAACACAGGGAGCTCATTCATTGCAACAAAAGTTGAACACCTACTATGTGCTCATTACAAGAGGAACTTCAATGAAGAAGGGAGAGGTCTGCCTTCCTGGGCCTGGGGTCTGGTGGGGGAGATTGTCAGTGATAAACCTAAGGTGCACTGTGACTGGGGACATGACATACTAAAGTGGTGGCATTTCACATGCGTCCGGAAAAACAGGTAGAATTCTGAGAGGGGACACCAGAGGAGGTGGATATTCCAGGTAGAGGAAAAAACTCAGTTGGTTTCTCCCTAATAGAGGAAAGGTCTTTCCGATAACATGAGCTGTCCCTAGACAAGGTGGGTTGTCTTGTGAAGGAGTGAGTTTTGGTGGCATTTACATAAAGAATAGAAGACCACATGTTAAAGGGACTGCCATTCTGAGATTTGACTTTATAGACTGCAGAAAGTTTCCTCTTACTCAAAGGTTGTATTTTTCAAGCCCTTCAAATGGATTTTTTTTTCTTCTGAGGATTTTTTAGCTTGCTAAGCAGTTGTTGAAGATAAATATGCAGACAAAGATAATTTAAGAGTTCAAAAGTTTTCTATTCCGTATTGGGAGACTACATGGATATTTAGTAGCCTCTAAATATAGTGCTCTATCCTCCTGCTTGGCATGAGAGTAACATCAAGAGAAAGACTGAGATAATATTTAGTTTCTGACATGTAAATAGGATCCCAGCTGCAGGAGAAAGGCTTTGCTACGTTCCTTTGGCTACTGCCCTCTCTTGCATATTACAGCCAAGCCTGGATGACCTCCACCATAGAGTTCTCTTTGGTGTAGAGAAGATGCTCATTCCGTCTTTAACAGCAAAGCATGGAGACTGTTGCTCAGCAGGTGCAGGGGTATGTATATGACAAAAGGAAGCAAAATAAAAACTCACTCTCTGTCTCAGAGGAAGTGGGA
The DNA here is from genome assembly GCF_000001405.40 of Homo sapiens. Classification (NCBI taxonomy): domain Eukaryota; kingdom Metazoa; phylum Chordata; class Mammalia; order Primates; family Hominidae; genus Homo; species Homo sapiens. The sequence goes on along the minus strand of NW_017852928.1, from coordinate 56,656 downwards.
CAGAGAGGAGAGGGAAAGGAAGAAAGTGAAAGAATTAAATGTAGGCCCCAATTTACTGTGCATTTTACAAGTTGAGGGAGCAAACAGCCTCCAGGAAGCTTTTACTCCCCACCTCCAACTCTCATTTGGGAACCCTGGGAGGACACTTCTGTGCACAGTGGGGCAGCCTAGTGATTAGGAAGGGGAAGCTGAGTGGTCCTATGAGACCCAGAAAAAGGTCTGGTTGTCATTTTCTAGACACCCCTCCATTCCTAAGGTGTTCATACTGAGTTAAAAGCCGTCAAGTCTGTAATAGGGTTTGTAATGGTGGGTCAAGGTAATTTGGCAGCAAAGCCATGGGCAGGCTGTAGGCCAGGGCTGAATGGGGTCTGTGGCAACTGCATAGGGGTAGTTGGCCATCAGAAGCTGAGTCAAAGCCTCGAGGCCTATTTAGTCAAGGAGGCTCAGGATCACCGAGCCAAGAGATGAGATTGAGCTAAAGTAGTGGTATCCTGCATCAGTGGATGCTAGCAAGACAGAGCAGTTTGGGGTTTACTCCAGAGACCAGAGGAGGAGGCCATTACCATGCTTGCGAGCACTTCCTCTTTTTTGCTGCCAAAAAGTCATGCGGGATGTCCTGATATACCGCACTGCCGTTCTAATGACAAAAGCAGGGGAAGGGGAACTATGTGAGAGATTTAACACTTTTATTTAAGAAGACTGAATATTACCTAAATTATGATTGCAGACTAATCTTTAAATCGATCGAAGAGTAAGTTAATCTTTTCCCCACTAGTCAGTATAGTAAGACTAGAGGATTGAGAGGCTGAATGAAGCCATTAGAGTTATTTGTACATACGAGTTGTAAAGTGAGTTAAAGTTTGTGATCCCTACTGAATATAATTTTCCATTGAGTGACTAAAGCATAATGAATTTACCTATTTCCCTCTGGCTGAAGTATAAGGTTTTCTAGTTTTTTGATTATAAGGAATTTTATATGAACATCGATGTACATGTTCACACAGTACACAGTAGTCACCAAATAAATAGCCCGTCAGTGAGATTTGAAATGAAATTGTCACTGGAAATGTGGAATGGCTTATGTATGTGATCTGAGCTTCCATATAGCAAGGCAGTACTTTGCTTCTTGTGGCAGAAGATGTGCCCCTGATAGCATGGATTGGTAAGAGAAAGCGTAACAGAAGAGATCATCAACTGTCTCTGCATTCGAAATCAACAGAAAGTTTGAAGTGTAGGAAAAAGAGAAAAGAAGGAAAAGTTCAAAGAATATGGTGGAAGACTACAGTCCACATCTGAGAAGTGACCATGATATTTTTAGGAATGGGGATATCAATCATGGAATTTTAAGTTACATGTGATGTGTACCTTGTCATTGCCAATCTTTGAGAAGGTCTTCTATTCATATAAATACCTCAGAAATTGTTTCATTTTGTTGGTTTGTTGGTTGATAATGGTGAAAATCAGAAGAAAAGGCTGAATTCAATATTCAGGTCAATATGATGAGGAATTTGAACCACACAATGTGATGATCAATCATGATCTCTAAAACAAGTATTTCAGTGTAAGCGAGAGCTCAGAGCTGAAAGTGACTATAAGAGGTTCAAATCCCTGTGGCCCCAGGAACTCATCATCCAGTGGAAAAGGAAAAGGGGGCTTCCCCTCACTTGTTTTGGAGATCCCCCACCCTCCAGTGTCCTCTGTGGTAGAACACACACATCATCCAACTATAGAAGGATAAAAACAATAGCATAGTGGAGAGAGCTCATGGGAGAAACTATGTACTGTATAAGGATAAAATTACAATATCTTATATAATTTATTTTTGGTAGCATAACTTATTAGGCCTTAGACTGGGCCTGGTGGCTCATGCCTGTAATCCCAGCACTTTAGGAGGCCGAGGCAAGCAGATTGCTTGAGCTCAGCAGTTCAAGACCAGCCCGGACAACATGGCAAAATCCCATCTCTACAAAAAATACAAAAATTAGCCAGATGTGGTGATGCATGCCTGAAGTCCTGGCTACTCAGGAGGCTGAGGTGGGAGAATCATTTGAGCCCAGGAGATCAAGCCTGCAGTCAGTGATCATACCACTGCACTCCAACCTGCGTGACAAAGAGAGACCCTGTCTCAAAAAAAAAAAAAAAAAGAAAGAAAGAAAGAAAGAAAAAAGAAAATAAAAAAAAAGTTAATAGGCCAATTAGGTCTTCCAGGACTGCTATTTTCTCCTTATTTCTGTACCTAGTCTGGGCTATTTTAACCCATTCTCCTCAGGGAAGAGACATACATTTTGTGGAGGTCTTGGATCTACTTCTTGGTTCTAGATCGAAACTGGTCTCACAGATATTCAAACCTCACAAAATTTTCTCAGTTTAGAAACTTCCCTTAACAAGTTATTTTCTTTCCCATCACTCACCCTATATTTGACAGAACAGCCCCATGTGATCTCTATCTTATGTATTTGAGCCCTTTCTAGAGGTTTTGCTTTGGTCACTTAACATATCCCTTTTATGGTGGCCCCATGAATCACTTGCCTGCCCTCCCACCCTCTATTTTCTCACCTTTCTGTTTCCTCTTTGTGTTTCATTTCCTCTCAGTTTTGCTTAGGCTCTTTGCTCACCATCCTCGAGGCAGGAGCTCAAGTCTGCTTGTCTCATATCTGTGTTCGTTATCAGCGCAGTAAAGCCCGTAATTGAGCTTACAATCTTCTTCATAGTAAAAATGGCTTACAATGTAGTACGCAAGTGTCTGGGGAGACAGATTTCCCTTGAAGCATCTTAAAAATCGAAAAGTAGGGAAGTCATCACATTCTATGATTAATGGAGTCTGAACAGGGCTGTCAAAGCAGGCTGAAATATTGCCCAAAAGAGGAGATTACAGATTAGCACACAAAAAGCAGTAAGCTTAGTTTAAAAAATGACTAAATTTTATTAACTGCTGATGTTCCTTAAGCAGAATTTCTGGAGCCAGAGTAAACTTCAAATTCCTTTCCTCTTGCCTGAAGCATCAACTGTACTTGGCAGAGCAGGCTGCGAGTTAAAGCCCCTGCCTGGTCCAGCCAAATGCCTTCCCTGTGCCAAAAGCCTGGAGTTGAAAGTAACCTGACAACTCTACTGCAAGCAATCCGAAGCTTGGCATAATTGTATACCACGGGGCTCTTGGGAGACTGATGATAAGCCCAATGGCAGACCACCCCTGCCTTCCTAAAGGGGCAGCATGGAAAGAAAGAATATGTAAAGGGAGGTGGGAAAGGAAAACACAATATAAAGCCCTCCTTGTTGCTTTCACCTTCAGAAATCAGCGCTTGGTGGATGTTTGGAGGGTGGGAGTGGAGAGGTGGACAGAAAAAACCCACAATGACTCTGTAGAGCAAGAATCCATAGGAAATTTTCTTGCATTGAGACCCCTCTGCTATGTTAAATTCAAAGGAGTGTTGCTCAACTGGTGAACTTTTTTCCCTTCTTTCTTTCTTCTATCCCAGTGCCCCATATGTTTAGTGAATGGAATGAAACCTTTTTATTTCACTGTACTTTAGTGTTTTAGGTAATGTTTAATATCTGATGATAATAAGATCAAGCTGTAGACAGACAGGACATGATACATTAATAATCTATTTTATGGCACACAGCATCTCATGTTATCACAACCACCAGTTGTGAGGTAAACAGGGCAGATATTATTCCATTCCATTCTACAGATGAGGAAACTGAGGCCCAGCGACTCACTTGCTCAAGTTTAAACAGCCACAAGCAGTGAAATTGAGGCTCACATTTTCAGATTTGGAAGCACTTGCTTTTTCTACTGTTAAATCTCTGTTCACATAGGCTTTTAGCACCATGTAACAAGGATTTAATTATATGAACTCTCTTCTTAACCTTAGTTTGTATTTGTCTTAGTGTAGAATGTATACATGTCTGGATTTTTTTCCTGTGAATGTGAAATTGGCATTGAGCAATTATTTAATAAACATGGCAAAGATCTGATAGGGTCGGACATTAAGCTTAACCCTGGAACTACTAAAGACCAAAAAGATGCAGCCTCTGACATGAATTTTGTTTATCCTAGAAGATATGGCCATAGAAATTATAAAATAATTCAATGGGTACCTTAGACACATGTGAACAAGAAGATGTGGAAACATTGAAGAAACAGCATCTAGTTCTGCTTGAGAGACTTGAAGGTGGAGTTGATATCAACACTTTGTCTTCAAGGAGAGAGGTCTACCAGGCAAAGGAGGGAAAAAGTATTATATTCCAGGGAAAGGACCCAGCATATGCATAACACAAAGTGGGCAATGTGCACTGTGGGTGTGGAGCATGGTGTATGCGGTAGGGAGGCGGGGCTGGGTAGGGGCTGGCTTGTAAGTTCTCTGTAGACCAAGCTAAGCAATTTGTTTTTTGTCATGAAGGCAAGAGGGGACCCCCGGAGGATTGTAAACAGGTAATTTGACATACAGAGGAAGATTCAACAAAAGGAGTACTTTGATATAAACCTTTTGGAACTCAGTGTTAACTTGGAAAATGAGTTTTCATACATCTGGATCAATGGTTCTCAAACTTCAGTGTGCACCAGAATTACCTGGAGTGTTGTTAAAACACAGATTGCTGGACCCCGTCCCAGAATTGCTGATTCAGTAATGCTGGGGTGGGGTTGGAGAATTTGCATACCTAACAAGCTCCCAGGTGACACTGATGCTGCGAGTCCAGGGTCACATTTTGAGAACTACTGCTCTAGAGCTTTTGGGAAGGCCTCTGCCTGGGCAGGACATAGAAAGAGCGGCTCCACAATGAGAACACCTGGACACAGGAAGGGGAACATCACACACCGGGGCCTGTGGTGGGGTGAGGGGAGGAGGGAGGGATAGCATTAGGAGATACACCTAATGTAAATGACGAGTTAATGGGTGCAGCACACCAACATGGCACATGTATACATATGTAACAAAACTGCACATTGTGCACATGTACCCTAGAACTTAAAGTATAATAAAAAAAAAGAAAGAGCATCTCTAAATTATTAATAAAGCAAACTTGACACAAGAGGTTTTAGGCATTTGAGATACGATAAAGCTTTTCTTTAAAAAGTCTTAACAAAGGGTTGTAATCATCATCTAATAATATGAAAAATGTATGTATTTGTGAGGCACTGTGCTAACAGCTGTGCATAGGAAGCTAACTGAACATGGCTCGTCACTCAGGAGCTCCTGATAATGCCCTGGAGAAGGTTGGGACAGATAACTGGCCATTCTGCATTTTACAGCTAGTGGGGCTTCTACTGTTTTTGTTCCAGAAAAGACAGAAAACAACTGCTGCTGAGACAGAAGTGGTCATGCATTCTAAGATTTTCACCAAAATTATTCTGTCATGTTGGTACAATTTTGGGAGAAGGGAGGAAGTATGCAGCAATCACGGACCATCTCATTATGTGACCAAATCGTCTCATGACTGCGAATCATCTGACAATTAATTGGGTGGAAACAGAAAGAATACCGGGAGCTGAGTAAAAATAGGAACACCGTCTGGAGTGGGGAACGGAATCATGTCATGAATGTAAGACAATGTAGGGCCCTTTGTTTGTTTGTAAAGTAGTTGTCTCTGTAGAATCTTCTCTTTAAACCCCTTCTCTAGGATGTAGCATCCTTTGTCTTGGCTGTAGACAGCCTCTGAATGTGACATCAATGAGTTTCAGCCAAGCCTTCCAACATCAGCCGTGACTGACCGTCTCTGACCTTCAGTCTGCACTCCCATTCTGGGGAGTCTGTTTCATGAAATATTGATAGAGGAGTTTACTCCAGAGCAATGTATACAGAATGAATGATGTTTCTTTGACCTGTTAAGCCATCTTCCTGCTTTAAAGGTTGTGAGGCAAAAAATAGCAAATAAAAAGGAGCTGTTCTTAGGAAGAGTACTCACTTGATTGGTACTCGTGCTGAAATATGCAAGACAGATTTTAGACCTCTCTTCTGGTAAGTAGTACTAAACCAGCACTTCCCAATATAACACCTCAAAGCTCTGGCCTGGGCTGTGTTCTATTTTCACTACATAGGAAGACACCATTTTTCACCTGGATTACAGTCAGTTAATATCTAATGCATCTGTCCCTGTTCACCGTTGTCTCCCTTCCATTCTTTTTAGAGCAGTGGTTTTCCACTGGTGTGCTCAGGCATACAGGTGGACTGAAACCCATTATGGGTATAAAGCCACATTTTGATTAGCAGATGAAAATAGTTTTGGCTACAACTAAGTATAATGGTAACAACAGCAGCAGCGGCGGCAACAACAACTAACATTTATATAACCTTTACTGGGTGCCCAGCACTACTCTGAGCACTTAGCCTAGATTAATGTATGAAATCCTCATAAGGGACCTAACAGAATACATTCTGTTGTTAGTCCCATTTTCAGATGAGAAAACTGAAGTGGCAGAGAGAGGGCAACTAAGTTGCCTAAGGGTCCAGGAAGAGTAAGTTGCAGAGCCCGGCTTCAGAATTTGTGCTCTGGAGGCACTCTTAAAATGAAATCAATGCTGTTTCATCTCCATGTTCACTGAGCCAATTGCAGCTCATCCTTCAAAGTCCAGCTCAACTGTCTTCTTTGCAACTTTCCCTGCTTCCTTCAACTTCTCTCCAGAAGAAGGAATTGCTCCTGTATCTGTGCTCTCAAAGCACTTCATATACACCCTAATCATATGCTTATCCCACCACCGATGTTGTTGATGTATTAATCTTTCTGCTATTTTGGGAGCTCCACAAGCCTGTGATTTATTCATGCCTATGTCCTTCCATCTCCTATAAGGTCTAAAGGACCGGTGTTATGTAATTTCTGTTGTTGAATTGAAAGTAGAAATTATGATCTTTTATGTATACTTTGTAGAAGAAAATTATATCTCATTTCAAACATATTTGAAATCTGACCACTTGAATTCTGAATTCTATTTCATGCGGTTATGCAAAAAATATTAACAGAATGCCTAAGATATTGTTGGATGCTGTGCTAGGTCTAGGGATACAACAGGGAACAAGGCAGACAGAGTCCCTGCCTTATAGGCCTCAGAGATTGGTGAGGGAGGAATATGGTGCCAAGTACTGAATATGGTAATAACACGTAGTTTAGGAAATAGCCTGGCCTGAAGGGCTGAAAAGATTTCCCTGAGTTAATGACATCTAAACAGAGAACAAGGAGTGACTAACAATTAGTCAAGTAAAGAATGGAGAGAATTATATTCTGAGCTCTGACTTGCTTATAAAAAGGCAACATTCTCACCCATTCTGCAGATCCTAATAGTTTTTCAAGCTTCAGATAAAATTCTGCTTTCTCCAAATACTTTATCTGAATATTTTAGCTTTATAACATCTTTTCTCTTAACAACTGCCTTCGATAATGTTTTAAAAGAAGTGTGAACCTCAGGAATGTGTCCCACATTGAGAACACTGAGTTATTTCATTGAATCTTGAAAACAACCTTGTGAGTTAATTATTAGTATCTTGCCTTTCCAGATGAGAAAACTGAGGCTTGGTGAGCTTGAATGCTTTTCCTAATACCTCATAGCTAGTGAGAGCTAAAGGAAGAGTTGGATTTCAAATGTAGGTCTGTTTGCCTGGATTTAATCTTCACAACAGTTCTAATAGGTATGATCAGCCCCATTTTACAGATGGAGAAACTGAGAGCCAAAGGACAATTGACTCAAGATCACAAAGCTCCTGGTGTGGCAGTATCTAGATTCCAATTCTTGTCTGTTGGGGTCCAGAGACTGTGCTTTGAGAGGCTAATACTAAGACAGGAAGTATTTCCAAAGACTCCCTCTCATCTGAGCCCATGCGGTGCTCTGTGATTGCTATTCTGAGGCACTGTTGGGCTCCAGAGACTCCAGACTCGCTACTCCAAGTTGGCGCCTCCACAGACCAGCAGCATTCTCATCATCTGGGTGCTTATTAGCAAAGCAGAGTGTCAGGCCTTACCCTAGACCTACTGGTTCTAAATGTGCATTGTAACAAGATTGCCAGATTATCCTAGACAATTCACATTACAGTTGGAGAATCTCATCCAGAGATGAGATTGTGCCCTAGAATCATTCTTGCAATTAGAAACCATGAAATATTGACCTTCTAGGCTTAGAGCCCAAGGCCAGTCCAGTTTTGAGACTCTCATCTTTCAGGGAGATACCTAGGGCTCTGTATTGGGCTGGTCTTCCTTACTGACATCCAGAAGGTCCTGGGTACCTGTGGAGACTGAGTTTGTAGTTGGGATCTTTGGTCTGGTGTCCAAGATACAAAAGGCCCCTCTAGGGTTGCTATTCCCCAGGAGCTGAATTTTTTTTGCTGTGAGCTTTAAGTTATAGATTGCAATGAAAAACATACAAAATTACACGATGATTTATAGCATTCTTGTGAGGAATAAGGTGATAAATACCCTTCCCAAATTATAGAAAGACCTAGAAAAGCCAAATGACATTTCCCATAAATCTTTGCAAATTTGTGGCAAATCTGTAATGATCCTGTTCATGTGACTCCCTTGTTTGCCTTCCAGCCAATAGAAGTCTGTAGTAACATTATTGTATTTTTCTTAAATCTGTCATCTTTCTCTTTATAGTTGACCATTCTTTCTCTTTTGTTCGTATATTCATTCATTCATTCATGAACATTTATTGAATGCCTACTTTGTGCTGGTACTTTGTGCTGGTACTTTGTGCCAGGTACTTTCTTACTCTGTGGCCAGGTACTAAAACTTTACTAAAGTTTTAGTAAAACTTTCTTGTACTAAGAAAATTATATTTTTTAAGTGGTCACTATAGCAAAGACTCCAAAGACTGAACAATTGCTACATGATGTGGTAACTGGATGATTTAACTTACTTAAAAAAAAAAAGATATTGATCCTGGGCCAACACTTATTTCAAGTTTAAGACCAGCCTGGGCAACAGAGCAAGACCACATCTCTACAAAAGAAAAAAAAAAAATAGCCGGGTGTGGTGGTGCATGCGTATAGTTCCAGCTACGTGGAAGGCTGAAGTGGGAGGATCACTTGAGCCCAGGAATTCAAGGCTGCAGTGAATTATGATGCACCCCAGCCTGGGTGACAGGGAGAGGAGTGAGACCCTGTCTCTAAGTATATATATATGAGAGAAGGTTCATTTTTTTTCAACTGGAGGGAAAGGACCTCACAAATAGTGATGCTTATGGCACTGTGTATATTAGTATTTCCTGCTGGATGTAGTACAAGCAAAAGAGATAAAAATTACATTAAATAAAGCAAAGTCCTAGAGACTCAGATTGCCTTTTTTCTGCTTTGATCAGATTTTCAGTCTAAATGTGAACCTGTTCCATTTAGGAATCATGGTGTTGAGTGTGTGTGTGTGTGTGTGTGTGTGTGAGAGAGAGAGAGACAGAGACAGAGAGTGTATGTGTGTGTGTGTGTGTGTGTGTGTGTGTGTGTGTGTGCATGTGCTCATAAGTCTGTATGAAAGCCAAAACTGTCTAAGTGGCTTGTTTTTATTTCTATTCCTTATGGGAAACAGACTAACTTCCAGCCTCGAGTGCCAGAACTGACAGCAGGTATTTAGCATTCATTTATTTCTCTCCAGAATTTAGTCTATAGGGATGAAAACTGTGGTTGTAACATTAAACAGTTTAAGTGCACTATCCCTGTGCCAACTAATATGACAGAAGGACTTTTCTAGTATACATCAGGGAGGCATGGGATCCAGCAGAACTTTTCTTCCTTGTTAAAATTAGGTTATAACTAATTTAAGAGTTTGGGTGACTTCGAGTTTTCTAAATTGGCATGATCTATGGCTCTGAAAAGACAGCTCAGGGACTGTCTATGCAGTCTGTCTATGAGTTGTTTACACAGAAAGCAAGCAAACATGGAAATAATAAGTTGGTTTGCAATTTGAGCTGTGCTAAGTTTGTTTTGTTTGTTGAGGACAACTCCACCCATGGTGGAGGGGCCCTTTGAGCTGAAAGTTACAGGATGAGTCTGACTTTGCTAGTCCAAACAAAATCCTTTTCTCATTAGATGACTTCACTATGGTGGAAATCATGCCACATCAGTATATCCTTGTATCAGGCTTTCTTTTACTCTTAGCAAAACATCTCTGCTGCCCACTATAGAGACCCTTGATGAGTAATTTCTCTCTTTAGAGAGTCAGGAGAGTATAGCAAATTAGTGGTCAAAAGGATAGGCTTGAAAGTCAGAGAGACTGGGAATCATACATAGCTTTACCCCTTATGTCTCCATGACTTTAGGAAATTGGTTTAACCCCTCAAAGCCTCATTTTCCTCCTATAGGATAATAACACATATCCCATGGGATTAGTGTAAACGGTTCGTGAGATAATTAATGGAAAGGATTTAGCTTACTGGTAACTAGAAAGCCTCAATAAATGCAGCTATTATTATTCAGATATGAATTCAGATACAAAACCTCCTCCCTACCTACTTCTCTAAGCACTCAGTAGTGAAGCAAGGAACCACCTTCAAGAACAGCCCATTCTTGACTAGCTTGTAGCCACCAGTTGGTTGATAGGATGTACCTGAATTTAATGATTTCTAATTTTAATATGTAGTAGGAGATTTAAACTTTGGAATTTTAACAAATTGGATCATTTCGCAATAATTCAATTTATACCACATGGACAAAATCAGAACAGATTTGCTAAGTACTCAAAGCAAACATATGTAGCTCATCATATCACCACAAATAGGCTACATGAATGTAAACTGAGCTGTTGGCAATTCTCATCACTTGGGGAGTTAGTAACTGATTGATGGCCAAGGCTAACAAGTCTGTGTTTCAGTCCAATTATTTAGCCTCTTGGCCTTCGGTCAACTTCTTTTTGTATTTGCCATGTTATCCTTATTGATTTCACTCACTGAATAGACAATCACCTCTTACAGTAGCAGCAACAGATATCCTCTGCATATTGCACAAACCTCATAAACAGCTTCATTCATTCATACCCTCATTCAACCACTATTTAAATATTGAATATATAAAAAATACCTATTGCAGGGGAAGCAAATAGTTCCTTGCCCTTAAAAGGCTCAGTTTGGTGGAAAAACATATTTAATAAAAGCTACCCAGCAGTTGTAACACAGTGTGGTGAGTGCTCTAATAGGGGTGAGCAAGAGGTGCTAATGGAGAGAAGAGAGACACCTTACATGGCCTGAGAAGTCAGGAAAGCTTCCCCGGCAGAGCACTGAAGAAAGGAGGAATAAGGACCAACCTGGCAAGGGAGAAACAAGGACATTCCAGGCAGAAGGAACAACATGGGTAGTAGAGGTTTGGAGTCAAAGAAATTTTGACCTGTACATGAATAGCAAGTAAGTTGGCCTCGTTGACCCATGGCATGTGCAGAGGAATGGTGTGACTTGTGTATGGAGAGGTAGGCCCAGGAGAGACTCGAACACACTAAGTTTTAACTTTATACGAAAGGCAATAAGACCCTTCTGAAGGATGAGAGAAGGAGTCCGTTTTCTGCTTGGGAAAGATCACTCTGGCAGCAGTGAGAAGAATGAATTAGATGGGAGCAGGACTGAAAGGAAGGAGAGAATTTGCAATCATTCAGATAAGGAAATACAAAGCCCTGAGGACAATAGGGAGTGAGAGGCAGGGAAGGTTTGAGAAGAGGGAGAATGCACTGAGGTTGCTAATTAAATGCTAGGGGATCACAGTGCCATCAAACAAGAGTGAAAACAAGAGGCACGTTTGGTGGGGCGGAGAGAAAAGACAGGATTGCCATCTTTCTTCTTTCCCAACTTTCTGTTTTCAGGATGCTGTTGTCTCTTTTTTTCCACCTTTTCTCCTTGAATAGACTTTCTTTTCTGTACTCTGTGTACAAAAATTAGTATAATGGAAAGAACATCAGATTTGGATTGAGATAAATCTGGATTAAAATGTTAACTTTGCTACCAGCAGCTTTTGGTTTGTGTTTTTGCTTTAGAGACAGGGTGTCACTCTGTCACCCAGCCTGGAGTGCAGTGGTGATCATACTTTACTGCAGCCTCCAACTCCTGGTCTTAAGCTATCCTCCTACCTCAGCCTCCTGAGTAATTAGGACTATAGGTGCACACCACCACAACTAGCTAATTTTTAAAGATTTTTTTTGTAGAGATGGGATTTTGCAATATTGCCCTAACTGGTTTTAAACTCCTGGCCTCAAACGATCCTCCTGCCTTGGCCTCCCAAAGTGCTGGGATTACAGGTATGAGCCCCCACACCTAGCCTACTACCAGCTTTTTAACCCTTGGTGAGTTATTTATCTCATTCTTCCTTGCTTCTTCTGAAAAACAATGTTGTGTAGAAGAAGAAAAAGCTGCAAGTCAAATGGAAAAATAGTTGCCAGAGGAGCAGTTTTGTCAGAAAGATAGGAATCACTTTTGGTATTACAAGTGGTAAGGGGCTTAACAAGGAGACATTTATGAAAAATTAGGAAGGCCAGAGGAGCAAAGTCCACTCACCGAAGCACCCTCTCCTGAGCACTGGAGACACGGCCTTTCCTACCTTTGCTGGATGGCGTTTTTATTATCATTATTGTTATCGGTTTTTGTTCGGCATACAACCCCATCCTTTTCATGCTCTCCCTTCTGGGTAATTAATTTCCCAGCATCCCTTGCCAGCAGGTTCCTGCTTTAGGTCCACTAATGAGAGGCATTTGTGTGAGCTTTGGGAGGCAGAAGAGAAGCAGATGTTATTACTTCTCCTCCAACAATAGGCACATGGGAGGTTTATAGCCACCTCCAGCATTCTCTTGCAAATCACTATCTCCAAGTAGCAGGTAGGTGTGATCACTGAAAGTTTTTGCAATTTCTTGCAATTTTTTAATTTTCTGGAAGTTAGCAGTAAATCTGAGAGCAGCGTTCTCTGCTCTCTGTATTTTCCAGTGGATTTGTGAATAAACTTCCTGTATAAATACCATTCTATTTAAAAATACCTAGGCCAGGCGCTGTGGCTCACGCCTGTAATCCTAGAACTTTGGGAGGCCTGGGAGGCTGAATTGCTTGAGCCCAGGAGTTCATGACCAGTCTAGGAAACATAGCAAGATCCCATTTCCACAGAAAAATAAAAATAAAAAAAATAGCCAGGCATGGTGTCATGCACCTGTCGTCCCAGCTACTCAGGAGGCTGTGGTGGGAGCATCATTTGAGCTCAGGAAGTCAAGGATGCAGTGAGCCATGATCACACCATTGCACTCCAGCCTGGGTAACAGAGTGAGACCCTATCTCTAAAAACATTAAAAATACTAAAGTGGTGTCTCTTTTCCTGACCAAAACGTCAATGGAAATCTTTCTGGCAACTACTTTTCAGTGTCCTTTGCCACCTTTCCCCAGCCATTAAAAGTTGAAGACTTTTGGCCAGGTGCAGTGGCTCACTCCTGTAATCCCAGCACTGAGGCAGGAGGATCACGAGGTCAGGAGTTTGAGACCAGCCTGGCCAGCACAGTGAAACCCCGTCTCTACTAAAAATACAAAAATTAGCCCAGCGTGGTGGTGGTGGGTGCCTGTAATCCCAGCTACTTGGGAGGCTGAGGCAGGAGAATTGCTTGAACCTGGGAGGCGGAGGTTGCAGTGAGCTGAGATTGCACCACTGCACGCCAGCCTGGGTGACAGAGCAACACTCTGTCTCAAAAAAAAAAAAAAAAAAATTGGAGATGGAGACTCTCAGGGCTTTGTTTAGACCCTTTTCAAGCTACACTCCCTTGGTGAACTCATTCAGTCTTAAGTCTTTAATGTATTTCCTATGGTCCAACAATTCCCCAAATTATATCTCAAGCCCAGAATTTCCTTTGAGATACAAATCCATATATTCAACTTTACCTAGTGTCCACTTGACTGGTCACAGAGTCCTCAAGCTCAGCTTGTATGAAATTGAACTCGTGGTCTCCCTCTCTCCTGTTGCCCTGAACCTCCTTCTCCTTCAAGGTTCTCTTTCTAAGAAGATGAACTCACCCTTCTCTCTGGGCCTTAGACTAGAAATCTGAGAATCCTTCTTCTTCTGCTTCTTCTTCTTTCCTTTTTTTTAATTTTTATTTTTATTTTTTTTTTATTTTCAGATGACAGACAACCTCTCACTCTGTCACCCAGACTGGAGTGCAGTGGTGCAATCTGGGTTCACTGCAACCTCCACCTCCCAGGTTCAAGCGATTCTCCTGCTTCAGTCTCCCGAGTAGCTGGGATTACAGGCGCCCGCCACCACACTCAGCTACTTATTGTATTTTTAGTAGAGATGGGGTTTCACCATGTTTGCCAGACTGATCTTGAACTCCTGACCACAAGTGATCCTCCCGCTTTGGCCTCCCAAAGTGCTGGGATTACAGGCGTGAGCCACTGTGCCAGGCCTGAGAATCATTCTTGATTCATCTCTCGCACTCACCCTCTCATGCAATGAATAACCAATCCTTACTGATTCTGCCTGCCCACATCCTGAATCTGACCACCTCTCTCTGTCCTCACTGCCACAACCCTCTTCTGATCCAGCAGGCTTGATAAGGGGAACACCAGGCTTGATAAGGTGCGCAACCTCACTGGTCTCCCTACTTCCACATCTACCCATTTGAGTTCATTCTTCACAAAAGGATCTGAGTGATCTTTTGATAATAGACCATGTCATTACTCTGCTCAAGGCCTTTAATAGCCTCCAGTTGCTTTTAGGGTAGTTGTACATCCCTATCCTGACCTGCTTCATCCTGGGACATTCCTGCCTCCTGCCCAACCACCCCTCCCATCGTCTCTCCCTTTCTGCTGCCTTCCTGCTGTTCTCTGCCTAGAGCGTGTTCTCCTACTCTTCCTCCACCGAATTCCTGATCATCCTTTGGTCTTTTTTACAGATCTTCTTCAATTCACTGAGTTAGAGTAGATCCCTCACTATTCACTAAAATGGCAATATATATTCCCTCTTAGCAGTCATCACATGTGCAGTAACTTGTTAGATGTCTTTTTTCCCCCCCCAGCTAGAATGTACACTGCATGAGAGCAGAAAACCCTTCTATCTTGTTCATGATCGTAGCCTCAGTTTCTGGCACAAATAAGGCATTTAATAAATATTTGTGCAATGAATTAATAGTAGGTAAGCAATGTTCATTCTTTCTACCTTCCCCTTCCCTCTTCTTCTCCCCTCCTTTTCCTTTGCATGCTAGTGCCACTCTGCTGCCACTCTTGCTATTGTTTTTCCACATGTTCTGTGTCTCCCTCCCTCCTTTCCTGGGGCAGCCAGTGTTCATGCTGACAGCATAACCCTGTGTTAGCTCAGGTTCTATTTGTCTCCCTGTGGTTCTTCTGCCTTTGGGGTTTTTCTAAAAGGGGAACCATTTGTTAACCTCTCAGGACACCTCGTGCTTGGGGTTGCAAGGGACCAATTTCCAGCAGAGCACAGGATAGTTTTCTCAGAAATAATCAACCTCTGTCTCCTGTTGCTTTGCCTTTGTCCTGAAATGGCCACCTCAATGCCAGGAACTGGTGATTGATGAGGCCCTTGATGTTCACTGTAGAACAAGGAGCATAGTACAGAAATGTACTCTGTGTCATTTCCAAAATTATATTAGGCAACATTATAAGATTAATAAAATAGAAAGAAATATTGAGACTCTTCAAAAAGAGAAGCATGCAAATATACAGAATTGCCTGAGAGCTAAAATAATTAGTTGAGGCAGTTGTCTCAACTAACTGGCAGCCAGGGCAAAAGGAGAAACTACATAAACAATAATCCTGTCAGAAAATGAGCAAGCATAGCTGTTCATCAGACAAACACTTTATGAAATACCACCTTGAGCTTTTACTTTCTTATTATGTATTGTATTTATTGCATCCTGTGTGTTCAATTCAATTCAGTATGTATTTACTATATACTATATATCCTATTCAATTCAATTGCACATCTTTTCAGCACTTACTGGGGGTCAGGCACTGACCTACGTACTGAAGGTTCAAAGACAAAGAAGATATCATATCTGTTCTTGCAAATGTAATCTGAATGATTTAAAATTCAAGTCTCCCATGGCTTTGTCTTGTTTTACAGTCTCAGATTTTCCTCTTCTCCTCATAGTGGCCAGCGGGGTCTTTGTCTTCACCCTCTCACAGCTCAAGGCTTTCATCGTAGTTCTTACTCTGAGTAAGACACAGCTCAGATCTTAGTGAATCTTTTAGTGACCAACCACAAAATTGCATTCTACATTTTCTAATACCAGCAGGTAAGCTGTAACCTCATGTAGTTCTTTTCTGATTCCTTCTTCAGGAATCCAATACTATAAATCTGGGGAAAAGAGTTCTGAAGGAGAGAGTTCTTTCTCTTCTAGGGTCCTGCTTCTACAGAATGAAAATCTTATCTCCACTCACTCTGCCATCTGTGACTTCTCAGTTACTTTCTTACACTCACGTGCAGCAGAGCATTAAAATGAGACACTCTTAGCCTCCGTTCACACTGAAGATCCAAGACATGTACTTGCCCTGCATAGCAGTTTAAGGTGCTTGATTCCCAAGCAGGAGATGCAGAGAAGGATCGAGAACCAGGTTTGCAGCCCTGAGAGGATATCCAGCTCCAAGAAGGAAATGGTATACTAGAGGGGGCATCTCTTTGGAGAGAATTGTTAGTGTACCTTGAGTCTTAACCTTCTCCATGGAGAAAGATGGGAGGGAGTCCCCTCTCCTTAACTTGGTGGGACTAGCTTCAAGAGAATGACACAAAGAGCTTTTCTATGTCCCTGGAGTCTTTGGGGAAACCAAGGCTGGTGCTTAGAGGGCACTTGTAAGCATAGCTGAAGGAAGAACAGTTTTCCATAAAGAGACTGGAAGTGACAGGAAATAAGAGGAGGAGGCAAATGTCTCTGAAGAAACCACTAATGTGTTCCTGAAAGAGGCAACTGCCAATACTCGTTGGCTTTAAATATTCACCAGATGTTTAAACATTAGAGAAAGCCAATGCCAGTTTCACTGGTGCAGGTCAAATAAGGTCTTGCCTGCCTCCACATCCTCCTTTGCCCCTTGCTACCACTTCCATTCTCAATAAGCCAGGAGCAAACTGCTGAGTGTGGGGAGTAGGCAGGGAACTAGGGAAGGCAACCCCACTACTCTTTTCCATCTTCAGCAGGTCTAAACTGGGAAGGAGAGAAACTTGAATTTTGAATAAAATGGGGAGTTTTGATTATGACATGAGATTGTACATATTAATAACTAAAAATCAGACTTCTTGCAATTAAAACAAACAGAGGACTTCGTTATCTAATAATAACTGAAAAATTTGTATCTTAGATTTCATAAAGGGATAGGGGAAAGATCCAGCTCCACAAAACATGTTTGCATGGGCTGTGTGGGAAGGAAGACTGTGCTTAATTGCCTCTACAGGTCCTACTTATTCAGTGTATACTTGGACAACCTTAGTGTCTGGTTTGCTGTCCTCTTCCCCGTCACTCATGGCCCCATCCTGGTGTTTGCAACATCTATGTTATGACAGTTTGGATTATTGTTCAGAAAATATTCACTCTCTTCCCACCCCCACTGTGGGCAGAGCAAACATCCCTGAACCATTGGTATTGGGTTTGGTACCATGTGACTTGCTTGGGCCAGTGTAATGTTAGAGGACCTGGGGAATGTGCTTGCATGATTAGGCTTGGCTCTTACCACGGTAATCTACATGAGATGAACATGCCCCAGGTAGTTAGTGCCCCTTTAGCCTGGGTCCCAGAACAAACCCGTGTGCATTACATGGGAACCAAACCCAATAAGCTATGCAGCTGAGACCAGCCGGGATTAGCCAGCTGATCTGCAGACCTGTGAATGTCACACTAAATGTCCGCTGTTGCATGTCATAGAGTTTTGTGGTGGTTTATGATACAGCACTATTGCAGAAATAGATGAATAATTCATATGCAGATAAATACTATGACCTCTTAGATCTGTGACCTCCTTGCCTCTCGTGATCTTTTATTCTACCTTACCTTAGCCACCCATTTCCATGGTCATATTCTAGACTATGTCACCATCAATAATTACACCATGTTGATATACTGATTTCAAGAGTCTCACTCTCTGGCTACCTTCTTTCAGCTCACTTGTTTCGTTACCCCCTACTCACATAACAACACCTTATGTGACCTCCAATCCCCTGGTCCCACCACTTTCTCACTTTCTAGTATCCTTATCCTTTCCTTACTTCCCACCTAACTCAGCTTAAGATTTATGGCCCATCACAATCATCATTCCCTTGCAAAAATAATAATAGCTAGCACTTACATAGTGCATACAATGTTCCAAGCGCCGTTCTAAGCACTTTACATGTGGTCTTAACTTGAGCTCCCCCGAAAACTGAGCATGAGTCAAAGGCATTCACATAAGTAGTTTATTTGGGAAATGATCCCAGAAAGTATGTGTAAGAGACAAAAGCCAATGAAATATAGAAGGAGGAAAGCAATACAAGGGTGCCTTATTTGGGGGCTACCACTACGGGCACGTGGTGCTTGGCAGGAAGCCTTATAAATGCTTTCAGAACTATCTGCCCAACAGAAAAGAGGGGAATATAACCATGACTCCTATTCCTCACAGGCCAAGGGTAGGCACATGGCTTTAGTTCCCCTACATTGCTAGATTGTTCATGTCTAGAGCTCTAGAGTTCAGAGTAGGTTCCACAGGTGTCCTACGCTATGTTATCAGAGAGGCCCTGGGCAGGAGGCAGCAGGTACGCAAGGAGGGCCAGCAATGAGGCACTGTCAAGTTGCCCCTAGGGAAAGCTGGTCAAAGCCCGAAGAGAATTGATCACTGCAGCCACAGCTGGAGCAAGGGGAAGCCCCAAAACGACTTGGAGAGATGCTATAAGATGGTGGAGACATGCACATACTCATTCAGTCCTCACAGCAACCCCATTAACTAGGTACCATTGTTAACCCCATTTTTCAGATGGGAAAAGTGAAACACAGAGGTGTTCAATAGCTGGCTCCAGGTAACACAACCAGTACAAAGCAAAGCTGGATCCAACTCCAGGCAGCCAGACTCCAGAGTCTATGTCCTTAACCTCCACTCTGTATGTCTCTCAATGTGTGCAAACCATTGACTTCTTTGCCCTTTTTTCTCTCCCTTCTCACTTGTCAGTAAAATGACCTTACAAGTTTTAACACAAAGTCAGATAAAGCCATTTGAGGCATGCAAAATTCAGTGGGATATCATTTTAAATATTGATAAGATGTTTAATATCATCAAAAGAATATGAAAGTTTGCAAGATTCTATCAAGTTAGAAAGAAAGTATATTTATGTAACTTAAGGTTCCCTGCAAATTCAAGTCTGTACAGTTAAAAGAAAAATAAATATATATATCTCAAGATCTTAATTAAATGATTACCAGAGTGGAATTACAGACCTCTGGAGGAGACAGAAAATTAGTTTTCTTGGCCATGAAACTGCCTCTGAGATAGCTCTTAACTCCTGCTTCTCTTTGCTCCTCTCTGGCACTAGGCAATTTTGGTTCTTTTAGAGAATTCTTCACATTCCCACCATCAAATCTACCAACCTATCTACAACTTTACCTGTGTAGTCTGTCTTTCTTTCTCTTTTCTTTTCTTTTTTTTTTTTTTTTTTGAGATTAAGTCTCGCTCTTGTCCCCCAGGATGGCACAATCTCGTCTCACTGCAACCTCCAACTCCTGGGTTCAAGTGATTCTCCTGCCTCAGACTCCTGAGTAGCTGGGATTACAGAAGACTGCCACAACACCCAGCTAATTTTTGTATTTTTAGTAGAGATGGGGTTTCACCATGTTGGCCAGGCTGGTTTCGATCTCCTGACTTTGTGATCCACCTGCCTCAGCCTCCCAAAGTGCTGGGATTACAGGCGTGAGCCACCATGCCTGGCCTAGTCTGCCTTTCTGAAATGAACCAAATCTTGGCATTTGGAGTAAATTCTGACCCCTGGTTATCTCTCTGATCCCTTCTCCTATCACCACACCATGCTCCAGGAACAAGGACATTTTTTCTGTTCCCCAAACACCCAAACTCATGTCAACCTCAGATTTTCACACTTGCATTCTCTGTGCCCGGAAGGCTTTACCTAATAATCACCAAGCTGACTTTTAGCATTCAGCTCTCAGCTCAGATATCACTATCTCAGACCTTTCTCTGACCACCTATCTAAAGTAACATCTCTGTTCACTCTCCTGAAAATACAGGGTTTGTCCCCAGCTGAGAACAAGGCCTGTGGTCATTGAATCGACCCATGCCTGGATCCATGTGGGCTTTATTGTTTCTCTCAAGGCGCTGAGGTCTTGCTTGGAAGACCCAGAGAAGTCTGTATGTTTCCCTTAATTTAGTTTCTAATATAATACAATCATACTATTACATAATAGTTTTGTGATGGTTAATATTGAGTGTCAACTTGATTGGATTGAAGGATGCAAAGTATTGATTCTGGGTGTGTCTGTGAGGGTGTTGCCAAAGGAGATTAACATTTGAGTCAGTGGGCTGGGAAAGGCAGACCACCTTTAATCTCGGTGGGCACCATCTAATCAGCTGCCAGCATGGCTGGAATACACAGCAGGCAGAAAAACCTGAAAAGACTAGACTGACTTAGCCTCCCAGACTACATCTTTCTCCTGTGCTGGATGCTTACTGCCCTCGAACATCGAACTTCAAGTTCTTCAGGTTTGGGACTCAGACTGGCTTCCTTGCTCCTCAGCTTGCAGATGGCCTATTGTGGAACATTGTGATCATGTGAGTTAATACTACATATATATATATAGTATACATATATAATATATATATTACATATATATTATATATAATATATATATTATATATAATATATGTATTATATATAATATGTGTATTATATATGTATTATATATATTTATATTATATATAATATATGTATTATATATAATATTAATATATATAATATATTAATATTATATATTACTATTATATAAATATATTAATATATAATATATAATATATATGTATTATATATAATATATATTATATACATGTATTATATAATATATATGTATTATATATAATATATATTATATACATGTATTATATAATATATATTATATATGTATTATATAATATATATTATATATGTATTATATATAATATATATTATATATGTATTATATATAATATATATTATATATGTATTATATATAATATATATTATATATGTATTATATATAATATATATTATATATGTATTATATATCATATATATTATATATGTATTATATATCATATATATTATATGTATTATATATCATATATATTATATGTATTATATATTATATATTATATACGTGTATTATATATAATATATAATATATGTATTATATATAATATATATAATATATATGTATTTTATATATATATTATATATGTATTTTATATATATATATAAGTTTATTATCCTATTAGTTATATCCCTCTAGAGAACCCTGACTAATACAGATTTTGGTGCCAGGAGTTGTTCTAGAGGAACAGAATATTAAGGATGGAGTTCTTTCATTGGTTTTGGGGTTTCTGGAGTTGTCTGCTTAATATGATTACATCCGAAAATGCTAAGGACTCTACTTCTAATAGTATGGAGAATGCTGATAGCCCTTGTCATGAACTGTTTAGAGAGTTACGCAAAATAAATGCATTTGACACTCCTAATTTATTGCTTATGAGAGGCAAGGAGTTTAGTGACTCTATACGTAATCCCTTTGACTATATGTGGAGAACCAAGGAACACAATGAAGCTGGTTGGTTGCTCCTAAGTTCACTAGACAAGGTGATGAAAGAAAATGATGAACTCAGGGATTCTCACTCCCAGATTCAGAAGCAGATACTGAGCCTCAAATCTGCTAAGATTGCCCTGTGTGAGAGTCTTATTTCCTGCTGAGAAGGAGCTGAAATTGTGGAAAAACAGACACAAGCTCTTATCATGCTAGTGGCTGACCTGAAATGAAAGGTGCATGCACAGCCTCGCCAGGTGTCTACTGTTAAAGAGAGGGCATTGATTGGAAAACAATGGGACCCTGCAACTTGGAATGGGGACATGTGGGAGGACCCTGATGAAGCTGGGGACGCTGAGTTTGTAAACTCTGATGAACCTTTTTTGCAAGAAGAAACAGCTTCCCCACCCCCAGTAGTGGCAACATCCCCTCCCCGACCCATGCTGCCATCAGCCTTTGTCTGAGGAGTTAGACCCTGCACTGCCTGAGACAATAGTGATGGCCTCCGCTGTGGCAGTTGCCAGGAAAGATAATGTCGATTCTCCTCAGAAGCCACCCCCAACATCCCTGTTTGCTTCTAGACCTATAACTAGACTGAAGTCGTGTCTGGCCCCTAGAGGTGAGGTTCAGATTGTGACCCATGAGGAAGTGCACTACCCTCGAAAAGAACTGCTTGAGTTTTCTAATTTATGTAAGCAGAAACCTGGAGAACAGGCATGGGAATGGATATTAAGGGTGTGGGATAATGGTGGAAGGAATAGAGTTGGATCAGGCTGAATGTACTGATTTGGGCCCACTAAGTAGGGATTCTGCATTTAATGTTGCAGCTTGGGGAGTTAAAAAATGTTCTAATAGTTTATTTGCTTGGTTAGCTGAAATGTGGATTAAATGATGGCTCACTGTAAGTGAGCTGGAAATGCCTGATTTCCTTGGTTTAATTTAGAGGATGGGAAATTAATCTGACAAAAATTCAGGGACCTTCTACTTCAGTAAAATTTCTAGGGGTCCAGTGGTGTGAGGCCTGTTGAGATAATCCTTCTAAGGTGAAGGATAAGTTCCTGCATTTGGCCTCTCCTACAACCAAGAAAGAGACACAACCCCTAGTGGGCCTATTTGGATTTGGGAGGCAACGCATTCTTCATTTGGGTGTGTTACTCCACCCCATTTATCAAGTGACCTGAAAGGCTGCCAGTTTTGAGTGGGGTCCAGAACAGGAGAAGGCTCTGCAACAGGTCCAAGCTGCTGTGCAAGCTGCTCTGCCATTTGGGCCATACGACCCAACAGATCCAATGGTGCTTGAGGTGTCAGTGGCAGATAGGGATGCTGTTTGGAGCCTTTGGTAGGCCCCCATAGGTGAATCACAGCAGAGGCCTCTGGGATTTTGGAGCAAGGCCCTGCCATCTTCTGCAGATAACTACTCTCCTTTTGAGAGACAGCTCTTGGGTTGTTACTGGGCTTTGGTGGAAACTGAACGTTTGACTGTGGGTCATCAAGTCACCATGCAACCTGAATGGACTATCATGAACTGGGTGCTTTCTGACCCATCTAGCCATAAAGTGGGTCATGCACAGCAGCATTGCATCATCAAATGGAAGTGATATGTGCATGACCGTGCTGGAGCAGGTCCTGAAGGCACAAGTAAGTTACATGAGGAAGTGGCTCAAATGCCCATGGTCCCCACTCCTGCCACTCTGCCTTCTCTCCCCACAGCCTGCACTGATGGCTTCATGGAGAGTTCCTTATGATCAGCTGACAGAGGAAGAGAAGACTAGGGCCTGGTCCACAGATGGTTCTGCACGATATTCAGGTACCACCCAAAGTGGACAGCTGTAGCACTACAGACCCTTTCTAGGACATCCCTGAAGAACAGTGCTGAAGGGAAATCTCCCCAGTGGGCAGAATGTTGTTGAGTGGTACACCTGGTTGTGCACTTTGCATGGGATAAATGGCCAGATCTGCAATTATATACTGATTCATGGACTGTAGCCAGTGGTTTGGTTGGATGGTCAGGGACTTGGAAGAAGCATGATTGGAAAATTGGTGACAAATAAATCTGGGAAAGAGGTATGTGGATGGACCTCTCTCAGTAGTCAAAAACTATGAAGATATTTGTATCCCATGTGAGTGCTCACCAATGGGTGACCTCAGCAGAGGAGATTTTAATAATCAAGTGTATAGGATGACCCATTCTGTGGACACCACTCTGCCCCTTTCCCCAGCCACCCCTGTCATTGCCCAATGGGCCCATGAACAAGGTGGCCATGGTGGGAGGGATGGAGGTTACGCATGGGCTCAGCAACATGGACTCAGCAACTTACCAAGGCTGACCTGGCTACGGCCACTGCTGAGTGCCCAATTTGCCAGCAGCAGAGACCAACACTGAACCCTCAATATGGCACCATTCCTCAAGGTGATCAGCCAGCTACCTGGTGGCAGGTTGATTATATTGGACCTCTTCCATCATGGGAAGGGCAGAGGTTTGTCCGCCAGAATAGACACTTACTCCAGATACGTGTTTGCCTATCCTGCACACAATGCTTCTGCCAAGACTACCATCTGTGGGCTCATGCTCATGCAATTCACTGGTCTTACCATGTTCCCCATCATCCTGCAGCACCTGATATTGATAGAACAGATGAATGCCCTTTTGAAGTCACAATCACAATGGCAACTAGGTGACAATACTTTGTAGGACTGGGGCAAAGTTCTCCAGAAGGCTATGTATGGTCTGAATCAGCGTCTAATATATGGTACTCTTTCTCCCATAGCCAGGATTCATGGGTCCAGGAATCAAGGGGTGGAAGTGGAAGTGGTACCACTCACCATCACCCCTAGTGATCCACTAGCAACATTTTTGCTTCCTGTTCTCTAGACATTAGTTCTGCTGTCCTAGAGGTCTTAGTTCCAGAGGGAGAACGCTACCACCAGGAGACACAACAATGATTCCATTAAACTGGAAGTTAAGATTGCCACCCGGACACTTTGGGGTCCTCCTACCTTTAAGTCAACAGGCTAAGAATGGAGTTACAGTGTTGGCTGGGGTGATTGACCTGGACTATCAAGATGAAATTAGTCTTCCACACCACAACAGAGGTAAGGAAGAGTATGCATGGAATACAGAAGATTCCTTGGGGTGTCTCTTTGAATTACCATGCCCTGTGATTAAGGTCAATGGGAAATTACAACAGCCTAATCCAGGCAGGACTAAAAACGGCCCAGACCCTTCAGGAATGAAGGTTTGTGTCACTCCACCAGGAAAAAAACCACGACCTGCTGAGGTCCTTGCAAAGGCAAAGGGAATACAGAATAGGTAGTAGAAGAAGGTAGTCATCAATACCAGCTATGACCACATGACCAGTTGCAGAACTGAGGACTGTAATTGTCATGAGTATTTCTTCTTTTTGTTAAAAACATGTTAATGCATGTAAACACTGTACTAAGAAAATATCTTCATTTTATTTCCTTTTCCTTTATCATGTGACATAGATTTGTTGACTTCGTATCAGTATTTAAGTATTGTTAACTTATGTAATAACATTTGGGTTGGGGATTTGTGTATTTCCAATGGATGAAGGACAGTTGTATGATGTTGGGCGTAATTATTACATTATTGTCTTTATTTGAAGATTATGTATGATCTCAGGAGATGTGTGTGGATTCATGCTGACAAAGGATGCACTTGTGATGTTTAGTATTGAGTGTCAACTTGATTGGATGGGAGGATGCAAAGTATTGATCCTGGGTGCGTATGTGAGGGTGTTGCCAAAGGAGATTAACATTTGAGTCAGTTGGCTGGGAAAGGCAGACCCACTCTTAATCTGGGTAGGCACCATCTAATCAGCTGCCAGTGGGGCTAGAATATAAAGCAGGCAGAAAAATGTGAAAAGGCTAGACTGGCTAGGCCTCCCAGCCTACATCTTTCTCCCATACTGGATGCTTCCTGCCCTCGAACATCAGACTCCAAGCTCTTCAGGTTTGGGACTCGGACTGGCTTCCTTGCTCCTCAGCTTGCAGACAGCCTATTGTGGGACCTTGTGATCATGTGAGTTAATACTACTTTATAAACTCCCATATATATATGTGTGTGTGTGTGTGTGTGTGTGTGTATATATATAAACTCCCATATATACATATATATATGTGTATATGTATATATATATATATATATATATGGGAGTTTATATACAAGTTTATATATAGATATGTACATATATATGTATCCTATTAGTTATGTCCCTCTAGAGAACCCTGACTAACACAAGTTTATCTATATAATAGTTTATCATACTATTATTATAGCATATTTTCATATCAGTAAGTATGAAGAAATGGTCATCAATACTTGAAAAGCAATTGAACATAACCTTCACCAGGAGGCGGGAATTGAAAGTAGAAGATAACAGTCCACTTGTACATTTTGGGTGAAAAAGTTCGAAGCAAGTGGCTTCATTATTGTACGATTGAATAATACCTTGTTATAATTAATATATATTATGTAATAGAATATTTCCTAGATAAACAAACTAAAATGCACTGTTTTAAATGTGTAATTCTGATAGGTATCTAGGCTTGCTTTATCTCATTTAATCCTCCTAACAAGGTGGTTATTATTATATTAACTTTACAGACGAGGAAACTGATGCCACAGCTAGGTCCAGCCACGGGTCTAACAGGACAACTAAGAAGATTTAGTCAGACACTTGGCTTTCCTGTAGCTCATTCCCTAGATTGTTTTCACCCAGTTCAAAAGCCCTGGTGCCTGTTCTGAAGGAGGCTTATATGGCTTGGTAACTGACCTTTACTGACTCCTGCACTCTTCACCTGGGCTCCTGTACTGAACCCATACAATGCATTCTGCTACCAACTCTGCTCAGCCCAGCCCCTAGTTTCCATCCTGCTCAACTCCACATTGCACTAGATGACAACTGTAGATGACCAAAGCCTGACTCACACCTTTCCAGTGTGTTCTTTATGTTCCTGGTCTCCCCTTCGATTCCAAGGGGTTGCTTGACATCCTTTTTACCCCTTCTCACCTCTGTTTGACTGAAATTTGAGCTGTAGTGGCTGGGGAGCTTGTCTAGAGATCCACCACTATCTCCTCAGAACCTAGAGCATTGCTGGCCCGTGATTCTTTAGGTAAGTTCATGAGAGAATGAACAAATGAGTGTTGTGGGCTGGAAGGGGCTGCTTGTATCATTGATGTTTGTGCTGTGGGTTGCCCAAGGACAATGGGCAGGTCTGGAGAACTTTACTAGTTCTGGAGATAGAGAAATTAAAATAAAGTTGTAATTAATTTGCTTTTTCTCAGCAGTTGACTTTTAGAATAAGGAGATATGAGTTGTATGAAAACAACCTGAATGAGCAAATATTTATTTTTAAAAAACCCAAACTCCAGAATATGTTTTAGACAGCTTTGTTGATACATAATTCACATATAAACAATTCACCCACTTAAAATGTACAATTTAGTGGGTTTTTAAAGAATATTTATAGGGTTTTGCAACCATCCTTACAATCAAATTTTGGAACATTTCTGATTCCCTTAAGAAAAACCTGAACACAATTAGCAGTCACTCCCCATTCCCACCTCTCCCCAGCTCCTGAAAACAATGAATCTGGCCGGGTGTGGTGGCTCATGTCTGTAATCCCATCACTTTGGGAGGCCGAGGAGGGTGGATCACCTGAGGTCAGGAGTTCAAGACCAGCCTGGCCAACATTTGATTTCTTTTGTTTGCTATCCTGTCTTCCCTCAATACTCTAATCTCAGTGATGTCTGTCTCTGTTAAGCATCTATAGAGTCTAAGCTACCTATTTTTCATTTGCTGGGTTATTATATTAACTTTCTCAATCTCTCCCTACTACATTATTATGCCATTCATATCCCCACCACAAAACAGAGTTTGCCCTGTGTAGCCCCTGTTGACAGTGTGCATTGCTCAGTCATCTTCAACATGATTTCCCTGCAGTGGTATAAGATTCAGAAGCCTCCAAAGAGAGTTACAGCTCTCAAAAGCCGGATGTGGATTGCATTCCAAGTTAGAAACTTTTCAGGTGCTGAAATGCCAGATGGAGGAAGCCAAGTGGAACATTGGTGGTGTCAGAAAGAAATAATAAGCACTCCCAGGATGACACTTGGGTTTGTCTCTGTAGCAGGACGCTTATCTCTCGGCAGTGGTGACTCACTGGCCATAATTGACAGCTGGAACAATTGTGGGTAGGAGAGATAGGCTTGCCACCCAGTTAGAGACTAAGCAGCTGGGTTTTGATTATTTTCAGGGAATGTGTGAGCAAATCTTATGGTTTGGTGAGTTTTATCATCAGTGTTTGTCGGCCTTTCCTTCTCTGCTGGGACAGTGAAGCCGCAGCTGAAGTGGTTGTGAATTGTCAGCCATCACTTTGGTCACAGTGTAGAGAACCATTTTCTTTTTCTTTTCTTTTCTTTTTTTTTTTGAGATGGAATTTTGCTCTTGTTGCCTAGGTTGGAGTGCAATGGTGCAATCTCGGCTCGCTGCAACCTCTGCCTCCTGGGTTCAAGTGATTCTCCTGCCTCAGCCTCCCGAGTAGCTGGGATTACAGGCGCCTGCCACCACGCCCAAGTAATTTTTGTATTTTTTTAGTAGAGACAGGGTTTCACTGTGTTGGCCAGGCTGGTCTTAAACATCTGACCTCAGGTGATTCAGCCACCTCAACCTCCCAAAGTGCTGGCATTACAGGCGTGAGCCACCGCAGCTGGCCTGGATAATCATTTTCTATTGAGAATGACCACTGTACTTTCAGCAGAGTCCTGAGTGAGCACTTCTGCAAGAATTGTTTTGTGGCTTAAGGCATGGTTTGTTTGGGCCATTGTTTCTCCATTTTGAGGGCTTCAGATCTCAAGGATTTAGGTGTCTCTACCAGATAAAGCTGAAACCAGTGACTTGATAGAGTTGTTCTGGTCTCTCATGTGTCACCGTTTTGAATTTTCCCTTAAATCTTCTCAGTCCCCTCTCTTGGCGATGGATACCTAAAGCTGACCAACCATTCTCACCATTGGATTATAAATATTTGTGTGTGTGTGTGTGTGTGTGTGTGTGTGTGTGTGTATGTATGTGTGTATATGTATACATTGTAGCTATTATCCTTGCAGATGTAGTTGCATATAATTTTTTTTTCTTAGAGTGAGGAGATGAAGAAAGTGAGATCTAGGACAAAGCCTATTTAAAGACCAAACACAGGCAAATTTTTCAATACCATGAGATACTGGGTATTTTTTTTTTCCTTGGGTGGACCAGGCTGAGGGTGAGATAAAGATGGAGACAGAAAGGAAAGATCCAGAAGGACATTGCTGTGGAGCTCTAGTCAGTGGGGCCATCATGGATATCTATCATTTTTGCCTGCCAGTATCTATTCTAGCTAGAGCACTCTGATTTTACTTTGGGAGAAACCACTGCCTCTCATTGGATTTATGTCTGGCAAGAGTCAATCATGGTGCCTGTCCTTCCCTGTTCAAAGCTGGAGCAACTGAAAACACCCTCCCTTTGCTTGAATCCTGGAACAGATGCAAAGAATCATCTAGGTCCCATTATCCCAAGGGCAGCTCCCTCTAGAGCTTCTTCATTAGGTCCTGACACCAGGATTTCCAGGGTTGCTCTGATTCCTGTCCATTCTGAAGTCCAAGTGTCCAACTTTTCTTTAATTATGTGAATTACCCCATATCCTTCTAGTTGGTTTTTTGTCTAAGTGGGCCTGAATTGGTTTTTGCCAGTTGCAACCAAAGGATCTCACTGATACACTGGGGTGCATCTGTATGAGGTCTTGGGTGGGCAGGAAGCAGTAGGCTGGACCTGAGAGACTAAGGGCTCGGGGTGAGACACCCTGGGAGAAGGGAAAGGGCACTAAGAAAAGAAGAGGGAGGCACCAACGGCACCCTTGTCCACCTAGAATTTGTTCCAGGTGACAATCTCATTTGCTTTTTAAAGCTTCCTCTTTGTCAATCAAGGAATCACTTCCATTTCTTCCTGGCCTGGAGGTTCCACTGTGAAAGTTCATCTTTTGAGACAACAAAACTGGGATTTCTACTAAAATCACTCATTCCAAAAATATTCACCCGGCACCTACTGATTGCCCACCCCTTGGCTAAGTACGAATGATTCAAAGGTGAACAAAACACAGCCCTTGTGCTCAAGAGTTATAATGTCTAGACCTGCGTGGTCCAGTATGGTAGCCAGTGGCTACATGTGGCTTTTATATTTAATTAAATTTAAGTATTATAAGTTAAAGTTTACTTCCTCAGCTATACTGTCCATGTTTCAAATATTCCAATAGCTCACATGTGGCTGACGGCTACCATTTTGGACAGTGCAGATATAGAGCATTTCTATCATTACAGTATTTTCCATGGGACACTGCTGGTCTAGACAGGTGCAATAGAGAGAATGATATAGATGATATAAGCCAGGGCATTAGGGATCACATAGGATCTAACTCGGACTTTTATGGAGTCAGGGTAGACTTCCTGAAGATAATGACATCAAAACAGACCTGGAGGATAAGTTGGAATGTCCAAGCTAGGAGAAGAAGAAGAATTCCAAGCAGAGGAAACAGCATGTACAAGGACCGTGAGTTGCCTGAGGACAAGCTGAAGTGCACTCAAGTAACCAGATGAGAAGAGAAGGCCTTTGCACCATCAACTTTCTCATATGCTTTGTTACTAAGATTACATTCTCTTGATTTCAGATGTCAAGGGACAGGGTCCTAAGGGGACTGGCTATAGGAGCCACCTATTCTGACCTGCTAAATTAAGAGAGCTGATGCCTCAATTTTGGAGCACTGAGGTCATATGAAAGGTATTTGCTGGATGAGAGAAGCCAGTGGATTTGGAGAGAGGCAACAACACATGAATAAAGGGGTCTAATTTAGAGCTCTGAAGACTGATGCCTGTGACCCCAGGTAAACCATCTCTCACATCTCAATTCCTTTTATACCTAAAATCAGTTCATCTTTTTGATCAGAACCCAAGTTAAGGAAGCCAAGAAGTGTGTTTTACACATGGTGGTTTTCCCATTCCAGTTGAGAGTACATATG
Source organism: Homo sapiens (assembly GCF_000001405.40). Taxonomy (NCBI): domain Eukaryota; kingdom Metazoa; phylum Chordata; class Mammalia; order Primates; family Hominidae; genus Homo; species Homo sapiens. The sequence continues at coordinate 25,918 of NW_017852928.1, read as the reverse complement.
TTGAACATAATTGCAATCATATTTGGAGACAACTAGTCAAGTCTGGGCTAATTTGACTGCTCCATGTTATGTTTAAAGTGTAATTCTGTGCACATGGAAATATTAGATAAAAATGTGTGTCTCAAAAACTAGCTTCTGATTAAATAATACTCTCTTTAGGAAAGACTACTAAGAGGAAGACCCCCTGAACCCAAGGGTTGGGGCCCCTTTGTCAGGAAAGGATAAACTGACACTTGTTGGGCACCTCCTGTGCCCCCAAAAGCTTCATCAATTTTCTCTCTAATCTTCCCAAAATTACCCAGGGAGAGGAAGATACAGAGGGACTGAGTGGAGAGCTCACTTCTTCCTGCTATGTGTTAATCTTGCAGCTATGAGAGGATCAGAGAGAACCTGATTTCAGAGACCTGCTTTGCTTGGGAGAACCAGAAGGCTGCCAGGGCAGTGGTGAGTGATGGGAGGACCTCTGTAAGTGACAACAGAAGGAAAGTGTAATGGTCAAGCTAATGTGTCAACTTTACCAGGCTAAGGGATACCCAGGCAGCTGGTATAACATGATTTCTGGGTGTGTCTGTGAGGGTGTGTTTCAGGAAGAGATTAGCGTTCAAATCAACAGACTAAGAAAAGAAGATCTGTCCTCACCATTGTGGGCAGCCATCATCCAATCCTTTAAGGACCCAAATAGAACAAAAAGGCAAAGGAAAGTCCTCTCCATCTTTTTGAGCTGAGACATTCATCTTCTGTCCTTGGATATTGGAGCTCCTGGTTCTTGGGCTTTCAGACTCTGGGACTTACACTAGCAGCCTGCCTGATATTTGGGACTTCAGCCTTGGACTGTGAGTTACACCATTGGTTCCACTGGTTCTCAGGCCACCAGACTTGGACTGAATTATACAAGCAGCTTTGCTGTTCTCCAGCTTGCAGACCACATAGTATGGGACTTCTCAGCCTCCACAGTCACATAAGCCTATTCCCACAATAAATCCTCATGGCTGTGTCTATACATTCCTCTTATTTCCATTTCTCTAGGGATCCTACTAATACAGAAGGGATGGAGGCCAACCTGGATTTACAGATAAGGATCTTTCAAAGAGCAATTAGAGCCAATGCCTGACAGAGCTCCAGCTGAAGAAAATTGTTCCTTAAGCCCTGGGGCTTTTCAACATCCCAGAGACCTTAAGTTAAACAGTTAATAGTCTTTTCTTAGAGGAGAAAAATGGAAATGAAAGATACATTATGTTATATGATGTATATATCTGGATCATAGAATTTTAGAACTGGAAGGGGTATTAGAGAGAATCTAATTTGAATGTTTCATTTTGCAATAGAGGCCTTGAGAGGTGGAAATAAATTGCCCAACATAGATTGTCAATGGTAGAATTAGACCTAGATTTATTAATTCCTGATGAAATGCTCTTCCTATTGACCTTACTCTAGGTGTTTGTTTTAATTTCAATAGGATTTTATGGAACAGGTAGTGTTTGGTTACATGAAGAAGTTATTTAGTGATGATTTCTGAGATTCTGGTGCACCCACCACCCAAGCAGTGTACACTGTACCCAATGTGTAGTCTTTTATCCCTCATCCCCCTCCCATCCTTTCCTCGAGTCCCCGAAGTCCACTGTATAATTCTTATGCCTTGGCATCCTTGTAGCTTAGCTCCCAAATCTAAGTTTTTTAATATTATATTTTTAAATTGTTCCCTTATTTAAAGGGTAATATCAGGAAATCACTATTTTTTTAATTTCTAGATTAAACCCAGGGAGACCTGAGAGCTGCTCTTAGTTCTCTACCCCCAGCAGGTGGACTGGCTCATCTGATGCTAGAATAGCAGGTAGAACACCTGAAAAGAAACAATCATGGATTGAAAATCTTGGCCTCTCTGAAATGCAACCCACCACAGTGTATTTGCATGCTTAAAGAGGCCACACTGTTCAGTGGAAAGAGCAGGGGATTTAAAGAAATCCCTGGTGTAAATACTTTCTGCTAGTTTTGTAATTTTAGACAAGTTATTTAAATTCTCTGTTTCAAAGTATCCACACTGGTAAGATACAAAAAATATGATCAACAGCCTTCTCCAGAGGTGGGTTTTTAAGGTCAGAAGGTCACTCTGTGGCTGGAATGGGAATCCTTTTCAAGTGTGAGCTAAGTGCACATCTGAAACCCCAGCCCTGGCACCCGGCATCAGTTAGTGTTTGTTGAGTGACTGACCGAATGACTGAAAGATGCTAAAACACCCACTGCAGAACCTGGCTGGTAGGCGGAGGCGTGGCTGTTGAGAAAAGAGGAAGCCAGAGAAGGCATCTAGCTCCCTTTCTTTGGGGTATGGCCTTAACACGAGACTAAGCCTCTTTCTTTTTCCCCATTTAAAAGAGTAAAAAATTACTGAGGAAAGAACAGACAAGTTAGTAATGAAGCGAAGTCAAGCAAATACAACAAAAAACAAAAATGGTAATAAATATTCTGTTAAATGATTCAATTTCTTTACAAAGGTCACTCAGATCTGTTTATGATAATGAAGATGGATGAAGCGTGCCTACCATGACCTGCTCAAGCCACGTGACTGTGTTGGAGTTCTGGAGAAGGGTTACTTCTGAGGGCAGCACTGAAAGCCCAGAACCAACTCTGAGGTGCAGCTCAGTTAGGAGAGCTGAGGTCAGGGGTCCTGGGCTCCTGTTGGGGCTGGTCTGTTGGGGGGAAACCAGCAAGCTACCATAAAGGAGCACATACTTCACTGATTTCTCTCCATCCCTATTCCATTCTACTCCGTTTCCCTCCTACCTCCCTGCCAGCCAGTCCCACAGCTAAATCAGCCACCTTACAGCCCTGAACAAGCTGCCTGCCCCACCGGACATTCTCTCATGTCGCTGCCTCAAAATTCCTGCAGATTTTGATGAGGTATGGACATTCAGAAGCCTGAGAAACTGCTGCTTCATCAAAATTGTATCTCCTACTTTAGTTTGCTATTGTAGACTAGAGTGAAAATGACAGAATTTATATACCTGAGTCATCAAGCTGGGACAGTTGGTCTGGAAGGGCTGTTGCTCTAATTGTTGGCCTCTATAGACAGCCCAAGCTGAATGGGACATAAAAACGTGTGACCAGCCAGAAAGTGAAGGCTAAAGGCCAGGGGAAACATGGGGGCATGGTTTGTAGTTCATGTAATTGACAGGGCATAAAAAGAAGAGAAGGTTGGAAACTAGAGTGAATAGTGGTAACTATAGTTGTCGCCTGTTCAACGAGCTTTCCTATCCTCTTCTCCTGCTTCCTTTGTTGAACTCCTCCTGTACTCCACATAGTCTGAGTAAGGCTATTAATCAGAGTATATCTCTTCCATACTCCATCCCCACTCTGCAAAACTACAAAGCTCACAGGGATGGGCACATGGCTGTGCACCTAGGTCAGGCCAATGTTCTCTTTGGAATGTCTCTGTGGGAGCTAGCACAGAAGGCTGCTAGGAAAACATCATGAACAGCAGAGACAAATGGAAGAAAGAGAAATAGGCGGGTGGGAAGAGGGAGAGAGGAGACAAAGACTGAATTGATATTGACATTGTTAGAGCTTCTGGATCCAGCCATGCTAGATCTACCTCTTGACTTCCCAGTTATTTGAATCAATAAACTTCTTTCCCCTTGCATAAGATAGATTGAGATTGATTTGGACAAAATGTGTCCTGATGAATTTACCAAGGTGGGCCAGAGGACAAATGGAGCAAGATTAGATGATTTAGGAACTGATGAATCAAATACTGGGCATGTTTAGGAATCTCTCTACTGTGAGTCAGAGATAACTCACCAAAGGAGCTCTACTTTCTTAGACAGAAACAGAGCTTGTAAAACCCAAGACTGTGAATAGGAAAAAAAAAAAAAAAGAGAGAGAGAGAGGTCTTCAAAGCTCATTCAACTTTTGTTTAATTATTCCAACAGTGAAATCTATCTACAACTGTCTATGTCATATGCAAATGGTGATCACCATAGGACATTGTTTAGACCTATCATACTGAAAAAGACCCAGCAAAAAAACTAGGGCTGGTGTGGGGCATCTCTGGGTGAAGTGGGTATCATGCACTGCTGCTAGAATAATCAACTGGCTCACTTTCTAAAAGAGCATTTTGTACTATGTACTAAAATCCTAAAAATATACCTATTTTTGACCTAATAATTCTGATGTTTCAGGTCTAGTACAGGCTCCCATCTGCCCAAGAGGGACTTTGAAGAATAAATTTCCAAGTTAAAAGAATCCATTTACATAATGATAAGAAGAATACCTAAGTTGAGAGCACTCGTGCCATTTGTTACCACAATTCCGCTTCTATGTTGGAGGGATCTAGCAAGCACTACTCCTTATTATTATAGCAAAGATAATTGCTTTTGTATTTTTGGCTTGCACTTTAAGTAGTAAATGTACTCTGGAAAAGGTATACATTGCAATCAAATGAATAAACTACATCCACCTCACCTCCACTGACTATACGCTCCTCAAGGGCCAGCATTTGTGTTTATTTTGTTTACTATTTTGTCCCTACTACCTGGAACAGTGACTGCAATAAATACTTATTGAATGAACTAATGAATAAGCATTTTTAGAAAATGACTGGGAAAGAAGAAAATCACTATTGTACTTCCTTTTTCCTGTGAGTGTTGTGGCTATAAAGATTAGTGCTTTATACATTTTATACATTTTATTTATTTATGCTTTATACATTTTAACTCAGAATTATGTATATGGATTAATAAAGTAACAGTGGGAGGTTAGAATGTTTGAACTTGAACATAATGTTTCTGGAATGTTTACAGTTACTTATATGTTCACAATTTTTAGGAAAAAAATAAAACTCTTCCTCCACTGTAAACATTTCTAGGAATATTACATTGGGTTAATAAATATGAAAGGTTATTGTTCTTGATTGTAATTAGGGTATGTGAGTCAGGTTTTGTGCAGGTGCTGATCAGTCAACAGAAGGTAGACAGTTGGCTCATTATGTATGCTCATTTCAGGGGAGCTGCTGATATTTCATAGGAGATTAAGGATCCAGTTTTAGGTGTTATGGATACCTAAGCCTTTTAGTTAAAGAAATACACCCTTAATGGCAGGCTTTTAGGTAGTCTAACTCCAATTCCTGGCAGAACTCTCTATTAAATTTGAATGCCTACATTTATTTAATTTCAGTTTCAAATCTGCTTGGGCACAGAAAGTGAGATTCTATTTCTATTTAAGGCCTCTTCCACCCTGGTTCTATATATACAATGAGCTCTTAGTTTTAGGGGGTAATTTTACTTTGAAGCTCTATGATATTACAGTTTTCTCCACTTCCCAGACAGCTCTTAGTATTAGGTGTAATTATATATTCTATATTTTGGGGACAATCATCAATAAGGTTAAAGTCACTCTCTTCCAAAAACAAGTTACTGGGTGGTGGAGTTGAGAGTGGGGCTGACTTTACCCTCCACTGGGGTGATTCGACACAAGGAACCTGTTGCCTTGGCCTGGCACTATCTGTGGATCTGAAAATCCAATACAAGACATTTCCTGGCACTTTACCAAGGATGCCTGTTACCTTTTGGACAGAAGAAATTTGAAAAATCATCCCATAAGGGGTAGAAAGGAATGACATAAATGGTCCTATTAAAGGGAAGTCACTATCTGAGACGACTGCAGAAAAACTACATGCAATCGCTGCAGAGATTAAACTCCTGAAGGTATAATACCACCAACCTCTTCACGAGCTCCTCAGAGTAAACAACCTGCCTACCTCTTCCTCCTCCTCCAAATGTGTAGTGTGTGCAAGATACATTTTAAAAGACTGCAGTATAGAGAGAACTTCAATGTGATGGGGAAAAAATCCGTTCAGCACCTATTCTGCAGATGAAGACAGCATTAGGCAGCAATTCTTTACTTACAGAAATAGTTGTTTCAATCTTTCTTTCAAAATGTTGAGCAAAACATAGGTAAAGTCGTTCCTTTCTGGTGACTCTACAGTGAACTGTTGGAATCTTGCTTGAGGTAGTGCAGCAAGAAAAACAAGTTGATCATCCCCATCTGTTAGGCAATCAGACCTGGGGTATCTGTAGCTGTCATGATCATTAGGCATTCAAAGATAGCACTAAAATAGCACTAAGAAATTATTCTGCTGATTCAAAAAGAAGCTATTTTGTAGCCCCTCCATCAGCACACTCCACATTCACCAGGGCCCCAAATGCATCCTTGAGTCTGGAGCCTCATAGAGACAGTTTTGTGAGTCTAGTTCAGGCTATTTTTTATTTTATGGGGCCCCCATACTGATTCAATCTTATTCTCAGCTGTACTGATTGACTTGACTGCACTATTAAGGCTTGTTGAACTGTTTTGATATCAACAATTCTCTCTTCTCAGTAGAAAGTCCGAGGTTTTTATTTAAAGCTTGCTTTCTATATCTGTCAGAGATCACCTGAAATATTAGGCTTCTTTTTTTCTTTTTTTATCTTATCTAGTATCAGTTCCCTTGTTCTTCAGATAGCTGTAGAATCAGACTTAGCCTCACACAGACCCAAATTCTTGCCCTTATAGTAAATAGCATATTAGGAGCAGCCAGCCAGATGCCATTTGCCCTGGTGTCAGGCAGTTTTTGAGGAGTGGTCCTATTTCTATGTTTAATATTTCACTTCCTGGATTCTGGACTCCTCACCAGTTTCTAACATGAATAACTGCTTCCCTTTGGTTTTTCTATTGGCCACCTGAGCTCCCAGGCTGCTCAGATCAATGCTTGATTTGTGCGTAGCTAGGGACTGTGAATTTGTTTACCATCATTCTTTGCATTTATTTGTATATAGTTTACAGTTTATATTCCATTTTAACCGCTTAAGTATTTTTTATTTTATTAAAATATCCATAATATTTAAATTGGCTTAATTGATTATTATCTTATGAACATTTAGGTGATAGCTTTCTAGTTTTTCTCTACATACGTAGTATGAATATTGTACAATGTGAACATGAACTTCATATAGTGTGAACATTTTTGGTGTTAGTAAATGTTAGCTGGATCGTGATTTTTAATGACTGCATCATATGGATGTGACTTACCAGTCTCCAGTGGTTGATATTTAGGTTATTTCCAATTTTTCACTATCATAAATAATGCTATACATATTATACTTACATAAAGTTTGCATTTCATATTATTTGCTTATGATAAACTCAGTTTTGGAATTATTAGGTCAAAGGGCCTAAACATTTTAAAGACTTTTCATACTACATTGCCAAATGGCTTTTGGATAAATTATACATACTTTTGGATAAATTATATATTAGCACTGAATGGTATTTCCTGTTTCATTGTAATCTTACCAGGATTCATATTATTTTGATAATTTAATAAATTAAAACAATATCTAATTAATGTTTTTATTTTTTTCTTATTTGATTACATTGCGAGATTGATTTTTCATTTATTTAATGGATATTAAACTTTTCTTCTGTGAATTGCCTATTTAGATTCCTTGTCAATTTTCTGTAATGGCTTTATGTTTTTCTTTTCAATCTGGATGAAGTGTTTAATATTTTAAGAATACTTCCCCCTCAGCAGCCATTTCACTGTATATTTATTTCAGTTTGTTGTGTGTAGCATCATATTTTGCAATAATGTGTGATGTGCTAACAGTTTGGGTTTTTCCTTGGGTCTATTCTTTGGATTCATATTTCTTCAGTTCATCTTGATTTCTATTTTTTCCTGAAAATAGAAATTTTCCAATTTCATTATGATTTTCAAAAGTTTTAGCAAATAGTTTAGCTATTTTGCATACTTACTTATGATTTCTTTTAAAATGACTTTAAATCTGTCATTAAATCCATATGGTTTTATTTTTCTATATTGGATTAAGTTATCCAGAGATAGTTTGTTCCCTTTCTTCCTCCAAAGAATTATCTCTTTAAATTGATCAATTCTACCATCAGTTGCATTTAAGTGTCTATAGCAGGCAGCATATGCTACTTAGCAAAGTAAGCAGATGGAACATGCCTGCTATTAGAGCCATAGATGCATCAGCTAAATTCCCTTTACTTCTTCCACACCTCCTTTATCTAGTTCTCTACTTACCTCTTTAAATGGAATGTCTAAGAAGTAACCAAATAGATGTCTTCAGTTTGAAATTTTCCATTTTTTAGACAGAATCTGAAGCAAACCTTTACATTTGTATTCTGGAATTTTATGGCAGCATAACTACTTCTCAGAACAATGTGGTATTATGAACATTATAATTAGATTAGAAATTGAATTGCTAGAGTTCCTTTCTAAAATATGTGTATTAGTCCATTCTTATGCCGTTATGAAGAAATACACGAGACTGGATAATTTATAAAGGAGAGAGGTTTAAATGACTCACAGTTCTGCAGGGCTGGGGAGGCCTCAGGAAACTTACAATCACTGTGGAAGGGGAAGCAAACACGTCCTTCTTCACATGGCGGCAGCAAGGATAAGTGGCAAGCAAAGGGGGCAAAGTCTCTTATAAAACCATCAGATCTCGTGAGAACTCCCTCACTATCATGAGAATAGCATGAGGGTAACCACCCCCATGATTCAATTACCTCCCACTGGGTCTCTCCCACGACATGTGGGGATTATGGGAACTATAATTCAAGTTGAGATTTGGGTGGGAACACAGCCAAACCATATCAATGTGTGTGTGTTTGCATGTGTGTGTGTGGGTGTATTGCCCACACCTCAGGCTTCAAAACCCATTAAATTTGCCACCAAATGAACAATTATTTTTCCCACTTATTGCCTGTACTTTTTCAATGAAGTCTTGACAAAGTGCAAGTTATGAACATTGGGAATGGCACACTAGTGATGGGTGTGCTTGGGTGATTGCAGTTGCCTGCAACCTAGGTTACAACCAACACATAGATACGTGGAAACTGTGGTTGTCCTGCTTGAAACAGTGAAAACTCCCCATCTTTACTAAGATTCCTGATATATTCCTATGTCAAGTACATGCCGAAGATCCTATTTATAATGCTGGAATCTGTGCTGGGCCATTCTCACTCTCCAGAGAGTGAGAAATGTATTTCAGATGCTCTTTTTTGCTGACTATCATTTAGAATAATTTCTCCATCTACAGTTAAAGAAATTTTCTAGGAACTCGACAAAGGAGCAAAGATCAAATTCCCAATTATACTGCTTCTGTCTAATTGAGGCCATCACCCAACTGGGTTACAGATTGCTAGAGAGAGCAATTCTTGTTTTATATATATTTGTTTTTCTAATTTTTCTTGCCAATCAATAAAGTTCTTTTGATTCTTTTAATTGAATGGTAAATAGTATACTTTGGAGCATATATGCACTATTATTTCTAAAACCTATGTATTCCTATTTTGCCTTCTTAATTTTAATTTTTGGTTCTCAAATATATAGGAAAAAATATGCCAATGCTATTGTTTAACATTTTCTTCCTCATAGCCTAGCCTATTAAGCATGAGGCTAACATTTTCACGCTGCCATTTTACTTATCAAATCCAAACCCGAACTGCAAAACAATAGAGTCACCAAGACGGTAAAATATAATCTCTAGGACAGTGGAGCATTATGGGTCAAAGTAGGTGATATTCACAATGGCTCTTCATCATTTGGGCTACATGAAACTGTGTGGTAAACATCACTTGCTTAGCTTTTCTTATTCAATCTGCAAAGGGAAGTTCAGACTACGGAGTCTGGAGCTCTCTGACTTACAGAAGTATCTATACAATTTACATAGTAGTGTGTCAGTTGACACAAGCTGGTATTTACATTTACAGTTTAAATGAATAACTTCTATTTCCTATAATAAGCATCTATAGATTAAATGCCACAATATGTTTTACAAACTTTGTTATTATGTATGTTGCAATAGAAGGTTCATCCCTGGAAGATTAAACACTACTTTTAAAAGTTGATGATCTCAGGAGGTCTCTTGCTTCTCCAGGAGCATAACACAGTGATAGAGTTCCTTCAGGTTTAAACTGTTTCCTCACCTGCCCAGTTTCTGAACAGGGCTGTTTGTTTCCTCTGGTTTGGTATGCAAGGGATGTAAATATTATCTAGCATTCTATTTGTTTTCTTCTGAGAACACAGCTAGTATACTTCCTTGAGAATTTAAAGTGCATGTAGCAAAAGGAGATTTCTCTCCTACATTTTTTCAAATATAACTCTGATTTGCAGTTTTAACACAGATGGAATCAGAGAATATATGTTTTATTATTTTTCTCTAAAACCACAATCGCCCAGTCTCCAAAAAGGAAGGGCTTCTCTTTTTTTCATCTACTTCACGGCCTCTTTCGCTCTAACTCCAGCTTTGTGGCTAAGTTTTGGTGAGAAGAATCTCATACACAGCTGGGAAAACTGTATGATCTTATTCTTCCAGGTTTGGTTTTTCATTTGTTTGTTTTTGTTTTGAGATGGAGTTTTGCCCTTTTTGCCCAGGCTGGAGGGCAATGGCACAATCTCGGCTCACTGCAACCTCCGCCTCCAGGGTTCAGGCAACTCTCCTGCCTCAGCCTCCCGTGTAGCTGGGATTACAGGCTCATGCCACCGTGCCCAGCTAATTATATATTTTTAGTGGAGACGGGGTTTCACCATGTTGGGCAGGCTGTTCTTGATCTCCTGACCTTGGGTGATCTGCCCGCCTCGTCCTCCGAAAGTGCTGGGATTATAGGTGCGAGCCCCAGCGCCCAGCCCCAGGCTTAATTTTTAATATGTTAAAGAAATTAAAGATATATTCTTCTGCCAAGGACCATTTTTAAGCATATGATCTTGCTTGGGCATGAGAGAGGATGTCTAAACCCTCTCAGCATACCTACTTTATTCTGCGCTGGGTCTTTTATGACTTGGAGTCAAAAGTGGAAGAATGAAGTGAAACACTTTTTTGAGAGGTAAAATTTATTGGTCTATTGTTTGCTAAAAGATTCTTCTCTCAGTAATAAATGCTGGTGGTATTTTCACCTTGAAGACCTGATAAACATCATTCCTCAGTTCATCCCAATAGCTGTTTGGATTTTCATTGGAACTGTGTGTGCTAGGGAAGGTTGTGCATTTGATTGATGCAGGCGGCCCTTCTGTTCTCTTAATTACATGTAGAGCAGCTCTGAAGAAGGAAACATCACTTGGGAGATGTGGGTGAGTCTAGGCCCATTTTACAAATTAGTGATCATTTTTGGTCCCCTAAGAAATGTTTTTATCCTCAAGTTCTTTGAAATGTCAAATCCTACCATGATTTATATTAATATAACACTGTTTTAAGACTTTAAAATTGCCAAGCACAGTGGCTCACATCTGTAATCCCTGAATTTTGGGAACCAAGGCAAGAGGATTGCTCGAGCCCAGGAGTTTGAGGATACAGTGAGCTATAATCATGCCACTGCACAGCAGCTTGGGTGACAGAGCAAGACCCTGTCTCTTAAAAGGAAAAGTAAAAAATTCAAAATTACAAAATAAAAATAGAGGAAAAAGAATAGTCAGAAGTAGTGAGTATTTCTAAATTATAGTATTCATTTCTAATACTATAATATACATTTCTAAATTAGATTAGTGTTAGAAAAACCACACATTTGAGTAATCTTAAGCATCCATACTAATTGTGGCATTCTAGTTTACTTTATGAAGTGCTCCTTTACTTGTTCATTACTTGGAAGACCTTTGGTATGATTCGAACACTTTGTTTCCTCCAGAATTAGAGTATTCAAATAGGAACCATTTTGAAGAGCTTATCTGTGTCCATCTTGGGACATTAGTATAATATCCCAAGAGTAAATATAATATTTACCCTAATATATAGGGTAAATTGTTATACTTTAAATATAACAATTTATATATAACAATTAATTTAATACAACAATTTAATTTAATAACAACAATTTAAATATAACAATTTAAATTGTTAAGGGTAAATTTTGTTATATTTTAAAAATACTTTAGTTTGAGAGCACATGTGTCTAGAATATTTACAGTGAGCCATGCCACAGAGGCTGAGTAACCTGACCTTGTGACAGAGTCAAAATTCATATTCACAATTTGTTAATCATGCGGTATAATTCAATTTTTGGCTGCTTTTGGATTTCCGGTTATTTGGAGGCTGTTTGATTGTTACTGATGGCTACAAATTATAGACTGCTTTCATGCTTGACTATTAATCTGTATATGCACACAAGTGATATAATAAATCATCTATATCTGGAAGAGATAAAATAATTTCTCCAAGTCTTTTATTTTCTAGGTGGGGCTGTTGACCTGCAAGTGGTTAAATGAGAAGTCAGGAAGGGACTGAGCCAGGACCAAAACCCAGATTCCTGATGTCTGGTCTTCATTCATGTACTCCATTCCTTCGTGGTATAGTCTAATTTCATTTGTTCACTCATCCATCCCTTCATTCCAGTGCTCTTTGTATCCAATCTTGATTATGTGAGTTCAGATTTTACTGTGAATTATTGGCAAACTGAGTGTGAGTTTGCAAAACATTTCTAAAGCCTTGCAGTGGGACACCTTTCTATCTCAATACATACAGGCAAAAGGACAGATATTCTTATGTTAAGGTGTAAGTATAAAATGCTAAGCTTTTATCCCTAGAAATTCAGCAAAAAGATACAGGACACCTTTGGCAGCCCTGGGAACAGGCCAAGTCATTCTGCTCAGCTATGAGGCCCATAGGCCGGGCCTTTCTTGAATGTCTCCTGACCCAAAGGGCAGCATGGCTCAGTGCCAGCTGATCTCTGCTCCTCCAAGGGTAATTCCCCAGCTTGGGGCAAAGTGGAGGGGAGGCCAGCTTCAAAGCCTCCTTTGGCTTGTGGAAAAGCACAGTCTGGAGTGGGACAGCTGCCAAGTTCACCATATGAACGTTCATTTTGTTTGGCTTATAGTCAAGCAACAGCAAAAAAAAAAAAAAAAAAAAAAAGCCCACAACAGCTTGGGAGTGAGTAATGGGTTACCCTGGCTCTTGGAGTTTGTCATCAGACAGGGAGAGATCTGGCCTGGAGTGCTCCAGGGGAGGCCATAGGGTTCTCAGTTGTGGATTTGTTTTCCAAGCCAACTTGTGACCCTGAACATGGATGCTTTATTGATTCCTATCTGCAATAGATCTAAGGGAATGGTTTTAAACAGGCCCTTGATTCCTTCCCTTGTGCTACTGAAAGATCACTTAATTAATATTCAACTGCAGTGTTACAGGCTGGCCATCTCCTCTGCGGGCTAGAATGGACTGAAATTTGCGATGGCAGAATAGGTCAGGATGTTATTATTATTATTAATTTCATTACTGATAGCGGCAGTGGCAACTGCAGTAGCAATAGTATTAAAGAAAACACACGGTAGTGACAAGTGAAGGATGCCAGGGAAGAGACTCCATCTAGCACTGCACAAAACCACGAGGCTCTGTATTTTCAGGCGCTGCAACCCAGGTGATCACTCAGCTGGCTTGCTTTTGCTGCTCCCTTTAAGGAAACCTGGCCTGGTGTTAACTCCAAGCTGCCCATCTTCTCCTATACTCCCTCACAATGCAAATTTAAACTTAGGGTAAAAAAAAATTGCCTTCTTAAAACAAATGTGGATTTGAGAGGTGCTCACACATGGCTGAGGCAAGATAGTTGAAATCTAAACTTGGGTTTGTTTATTTATTTATTTGCAGAAAGGAAAGAAGTCGGGTTTTAAACATGCTGACATTCTGTACTAACTTTTATGCTAAGATAATGAGGTCTGGAGAGGTCTATTATGAGAAGGGTAGGAGTTAGAAGCTCCCAAACCATGACTCTGAAGAAAGAGAATTCCTTTTGAAAGAGACTTTGTATGCTTTGAGGAAACAATGAAATCCGAAACAGAATGTGTGAATGTGTAAAGGAAGTCAAAGGAGTAGAATGAAGGAGAGGAGTGGCTTCTCTTAGCTCTTTTTGAATACCAGGAAAGAGGAGTTTTTCAGACATTTTTGTGACTAGGGTGAAATATGGGAAAACCATAATTTGGGATAGATTTGGTCCCAAGTAGGAAAGACTGTTTCCATAGTGTCCAGGTGGTTAAATGAAATCACTCTGGTATCAGCATGGAAATAACAGTAAAGGTAGATTTGCAAGGCAAGCCTTCCCAGTGAAATCCTCCCTTCTTTTCCACCCACATCCTCCTCTGTATTCCTAGAGCATCTTTGGTGTACCTCACTTATTAGAGGATATTATACTTAATTAGAGTCATATAGTACGATGTTGAGAGCATGCTCTGCAGTCTCACAGTCTGGGTTCAAATTCCAGTTGTGACTTTCAGGTGTTGATTTCTAAAGACCATTGCCTACTAAAGGGAGTCAGAATTCCTTGGGGGAAGTGGTCAATTCCAGGTGAGGAGTATATAAATATGCTTCTGGAATACACTATTGTGCTGGAAAGCAAGACATGCTCAGAAAATCATGAAGCAATGACCAATGGATAAGGAACTGTCTTGGGCTCCCTTGGGTTAAATTTGGGAAACATTTAAGCATTAAAATAATAACAATGATGAATTATAATATATTGATTTTTTGTTTGTTTGTTTTTTGTTTTTTTAGTCTTGAAACGGAGTCTTGCTCTGTTGCCAGGCTGGAGTGCAGTGGTGTAATCTTGGCTCACTGCAACCTTTGCCTTCTGGGTTCAAGCGATTCTCCTACCTCAGCCTCCCGAGTACCTGGGACTACAGGTGCCCACCACCATGCCCAGCTAATTTTTGTATTTTTAGTAGAGACAGGATTTCACCATGTTGGCCAGGATGGTCTCTATGTCTTCACCTCATGATCCACCCGCCTCGGCCTCCCAAAGTGCTGGGATTACAGGCGTGAGCCACCGTGCCTGGCTGGAAGCATGATTTTTAAACATCTACAACATGACTGTATATTATATAATTTCATCATGTACAGTATACATACATATTCATAAATGTATACATAAAATCTAATTTCTTCCTAGTTTGAGCCTTAAAAATAAATTTAAGAGGTACAAGTGCCATTCCATTACATGAATATATTGTGTAGTGGTGAATTCTGGACTTTTAGGGTAGCTATCACCCTCTAGTTTGAGTCTTTATAAAGCAAAATAAGAGAGAAAGAGAGAAGGAGAGAGAGAGAAAGAGCGAGGAAGAGAGACAGAGAGAGAGAATTACCATTGGTGACTACAAGAATATTACCACAATAGTAAATTCCCTGCATTAATGTACACTTCAACAGAGAGAGAAAACCAAGCTCAGAGAAGTTAGGACTATGATGTGGCCCAGAGAGCAGAAAACTAGAAAAGAATACCAGTTGTCTGGGTCTACAACTAGGTCACACTGCCTTGCTACATTTCCTGGAGTGTGATGGCTTTTGCGCTTCGTTTCCAGGTCTTTTTCAGTGCATGGAATAGAAATGCTGCCCTACTTTTTCTCCAAACCTGAGAATATTGAGCAGAGTCCATAGTTAAAATTAATAAAATTCAGAAATTAATTCTTATTGAAAATGCGATGATGAGAGTAATGAGATTTTGATTTTGAATTGTATAAAGGAGTAGCCCTTATGAATTATAATACTTGCATTTACTATTCCTCAAAGGAAGGAAAATCACCGTTTTACAGCCTTCCAAGACAATTTTAACTTAAACCTCTGTTTTCTTGCTGTTTGTAATAATGACCTTTCTCCTTAAGGTTTGTAATCAGTGAGTAATAGAATAGAGGAACAAAGAGTCATGTTCTAATAATTAATGCAGTGTGTAGAATCCCTTTAAGCCTGTTGCTCCCAGTTCTCCTAAGAGGGAAATGTCCCTGGCATCTCTTAAAAGAATTATGTGTTCCAATCTGGCTAGACATCCAATGTTCTTTCCTATGAGCCCTAATTTTTATTTTCTAATACACTAGTATTTTCTAAGAAAATCTAATAAAAATCATGAAAGAGTAAATAAGAAATGGAATGATCATTTCATATGAAAGCATGTACCTACCATGAGTATTTTAATGAAAGGAAATGTGCCTTCCAAATCCCAGGAGTTTCTGAGAATGTGAACCATCGTCCATGGTCTGTCTTTGGGATCTGGACAACCTGAGAGCTCCCAAGACTGAGAACCTATCATTACTAATTACATAGATGAAATATATATTCCTCTTAACTTTGCAACACAATGACAACCACAAACTCCTTTTTCAGCTCCTAAATACAGCCTCCTTAATATAGCACAGTAAGGAAAACTATATAAGTAGACCAGTTAGGTCACACGCTAATTCCATTACCTTAATTGCTTCCCCATTGTATATTGAATACCGAACTTATATATGGACTTTATTAAATACTAGGCACTGTTTAAAGCATTCCCACACTTCAACTCTTTTTAATGTAACAGAAGAGGCTAAGTAACTTGCCTAAGTTCACATGGAGCCAGGATTCACACTCAGGAAGTCTAGCTCCAGATTTCATGCTCTTAATTGTTACTCAATATCAGAGTGAAGTTCTGTGGCTTTGGTGTCTCCTTCTTTTCTTTCTTTCTTTTTTTTTTTTTTGAGATGGAATTTCGCTCTTGTTGCCCAGGCTGGAGTGCAATGGTGCAGTCTCAGCTCACCCTCACCACAACCCCCACCTCCCGGGTTCAAGCGATCTTCCTGCCTCTGCCTCCTGAGTATCTGGGATTAGAGGCATGTGCCACCACGCCTGGCTAATTTTGTATTTTTAGTAGAGATGGGGTTTCTCCATGTTGGTCAGGCTGATCTCAAACTCCTGACATCAGGTGATCCGCCTGCCTCGGCCTCCCAAAGTGCTGGGATTACAGGCGTGAGCCCCTGCGCTTGGCTTTGGTGTCTCTTTCTAACCTTGATCTCCACTACATTCCTCAAAGACCTAATGCTGCACCCATATGGATTTACTGATTCTGGCCCACATGGATCCTATCACTGGGTCTGGACATATTGTTACTACTTAAAAGGTTAGGCCTTCTTGCTTCTCTATACACATTTTCACACACATTGCCCCATCAAAGAGCTACTCTTTCTTTAGAGCTCAGATAAAGTCCTATCTTTTCTGAGAATTCCCAGATTCTTTAGACAACATTAAGTATTCCTTTCCTACACTCTGGAAGTATTACTGTTAGAACCACTATCATTGCCCCTGTTGGAATTGGTTATATTTCCGTCTTTCTTAGTAAATGGAATAAGTGGT
The DNA here is from genome assembly GCF_000001405.40 of Homo sapiens. NCBI lineage: Eukaryota > Metazoa > Chordata > Mammalia > Primates > Hominidae > Homo > Homo sapiens. The sequence continues at coordinate 8,795 of NW_017852928.1, read as the reverse complement.
GTGCTCCTAGAGGGGCAAGATCCTTTCTTTTCTACCTCTATAGCCCACTCAGCACCAAACACACAGTAAACATTTGCTATAGCACTGAATTGAAGGCAAATATGATGGATATTGATGTATGAATGTTCAGTACATATATGTTCACATTTCCTGTGTAGACTCTCTATGTGCATGTAGCCATTTGCCTATGGTTATGTTTAGTCACTATTCTGGATATATGTGCTTTTCACAACAAGGGAGGACTGCAGAGCAAATACTAAATACAATCTCATGTCCAGTGTGGAGGCTAAGGAGTGTTCCATAGATCATCACTTTTGTCTTAGCACAACTACTGAAATAATGAAAAAATTAAATGATTCTTGGGGAATCCTGTAGTGCCTTGCTCATACTGACCATTGTTGTTTCCTTTGGCTACCTTTGACTGTTGTGTAAATGTCAGATTTCCCCTTGTGAGCTCCTTGGAAATGACTGAGTCTTTCTTTGTAATCACTCTGCCTAATAAATATGTAATGCTGATGAATGTCAAGATGGTATCATAAAACATTGAAACATTGTGTCTATGAAAATATTTATATTTGTTGAATGAATGAATTCATAAATGCACACCCCAGGCAAGGACTGGGAGATTATCTTATTCTAACTCATTATTTCATTGCTGCAGCATCTGATGCCAAAGAGGTAAGGTCTTGCCATTGGTCCCAAGGCTGACTAGTGATGGAACTGGGATTCAAATACAAGCATTTTGCCTCATTGCCCTTGGCACTTGTTTTTATCTACATGGTAGTTTTGGGGTTGGGAAGGAAATGAAGTTTTCTTTTTAAATAATTATATAGACTAACCTACGCAGTCAAGGAACTATGTGATGGAGTTTTCTAGATAGTCCCTTCCCCTCACACACACACAAAAAAAAAATCAACTTTTTTTCAGTTTATTACCTAAAAACTTAGGGAAATGAGTACATTTCCCTGCCTAAGTAGGATATCCTGAACATAATTGAATCTTTCTTCAATAATTTAAAATCTCACAATGCTTTGGGTTTATATCAGAAATCCTTGTTACCACAGTGTAATGGAATTGATTTAGGAAGTTGGGCTAATTATTTTACCTCATGGCACATTTTAAAGATTAAAAACAATCATAGGTCCTAGTTGTTTTGTCCCCACTTGTTATCCCTACAGGCTGAGAATGTGATGGTGGCAGAGAATGGAGATATGGTAGAGGAAGAATCATTTAATTCAAGATTTTAATTAGTTGGGTTCCAGCTAGTTTAAATTTGGTGCTCTGGGGCAGGGGGCGTGGCTTGGAGCCAGTCTCATTCTGTTGCCCAGGCTGGAGTACAGTGGCTCGATCTCAGCTCACTGTAACCTTTGTCTCCTGGGTTCAAGTGATTCTCCTGCGTCAGCCTCCCAATTAGTTGGGATTACAGGCATGCACTACCACACCCAGCTAATTTTTTTTTTTTGTATTTTTAGTAGATATGGGGTCTCACCATGTTGCCCCGGCTGGTCTCGAACACCTGAGCTTAGGCAATCCACACACCTCAGCCTCCCAAAGTGCTAGGATTACAGGCGTGTGCCACTGTGCCCAGCCAAATTTTTTTTCTATAATTTATGTATTACAGAGTAATCCCAGATACAGATCCATGTGAAGTAAAATAAATACATGTGAAATTTGGAGTAGAAAGAACAGAGATTTTGGAGTCAGACAGCCGGGGCTTTGAATACCAGCTTCACACTGTCTGTGAGACAGAGAACTGGTTATCTAATTTCTCTGAAGGTTGTTTTCTTTCATACAAGATGGAGATAATTATAAGAAGCTTGTAGATGCAGAGGAAGTAATATGCTCAGTTCATACTAGGAATTCTGTAAGTTTTGGTTCTTCAAATCCTCCACCCCTTGTCTTCCCAAGTAAAAGATAAGGTAGTTTTACGATGTAATGCCATATACTGTAAATAATAGGAGTAATATAACGTTGATTTTCTATAGAACTGATTGCTCAACTAGAGTGCTCCCTAAATTAATATTGCATTTTTTTTATTTTTAAGGGAATTACAGAGACTTTTAGACATTTGTAGAATTAAGACGAAATGTTAATAGTATATATTCTTTTGGTTCCATTAATATTGTCATTCTTGACTGAAAATGATGAATCTAACAAAATGGGAGATATTGAACAAAATTAATTCTACTTAACTTTTCTTTAGCAGACTTGAGGAGCTGCCCTTGGGGTCATGTGTGAGCTGCTAGCAGAAGCTTCAAAGCTGGATGAAATGAAGAGTGATACATATTTTTACTACCAGGCACAACCATCCCATCTTGCTGTGACCCTCCATGGGTTGCCTCTCTCTGGAAAGGTGTTAAAGGGGCAGGATTCCAGCTCGAGGGTGAAAGAGAGTCATTGGTGCCTAATCCATCCTGGAACAGCCACGTGGAATTTCTCTGTGGGGGAGAGAGGAGTACAGTTTCTATGACGATCACAGCTGCTCTGCCAAGACTGCCAGTCAGGATGCCGGCACTGCTAATTGCTATGCGGACATCCGTTCATTAGACTTTGACCTAGAATTACTGTTGTCTTTCACAAGGTAGGCAATGAATCATTGTGTTTGGCCCTTGCTTCGTCTCCTTCAGCCTAGGTTTGATTTGGATCAGAAATGCAATCTCTGCAGGTCATTACCTATCTTAGGAATGTTCCTAAAGTGCATCTTTTACAAAAGGCTAGGGTTTTATTAGAAAACAGAATATTAGTTACCAGTCTAAGGGCTTAGAGGGAGCTGGTTGTAATCCAGCTCTGCCACTCTGTGGTTCTGTGATCTTGGGCAAGTTGCTTGGCTCCTCTAAGCCAGTTATCTCATCAGTAAAATGGGGATAGCAATATATGTATTCTCAGGGGATTGCTATGAGGTGTGAGCAGGGATGAGTTGGAAAAAGTCTCTGATGCCTGTGTTGGCAACCGGAATGAGAGGGGGAAACTGGATGGAGTGATACCTAGATAACTGGCACTCAAGATCCACTCATGGCCAGCCACGATTTACATCACTTGGCTCTCTCCATTAATGTTGCATCCTTAGTAATTCAGTTTACTTCTCTTCATCCTTTATCCTAATCTGTGAAGAAACCTGTGACAATCAAACAGCAATGTCAATTCAAAACAAGCTTTGTTAGTTCTCTCAGTAACCAACAAAAAGTGTTCATTTTGGCCGGGCGCGGTGGCTCACGCCTGTAATCCCAGCACTTTGGGAGGCCGAGGCGGGCGGATCACGAGGTCAGGAGATCGAGACCATCCCGGCTAAAACGGTGAAACCCCGTCTCTACTAAAAATACAAAAAATTAGCCGGGCGTAGTGGCGGGCGCCTGTAGTCCCAGCTACTTGGGAGGCTGAGGCAGGAGAATGGCGTGAACCCGGGAGGCGGAGCTTGCAGTGAGCCGAGATCCCGCCACTGCACTCCAGCCTGGGTGACAGAGCGAGACTCCGTCTCAAAAAAAAAAAAAAAAAAAAAAAAAAAAAAAAAAAAAAGTGTTCATTTTGTTTTTGTAGAACTCCTATTTTAGATTTCAACCTTACTCCCAGAATTCTAGAGAGAGAGCTACAGATGTGGAGTGCTTTACTTTGGTTATGGAGTTGGAATACGGTAGGAGGAGGTAAATGCAGGTGTGTCCCACTTAAAGAAGTAAAACCAATGACTAAGAATAAACTTTTGGGGGGGGCTTCTAATAATATATGCCAGACACTGTGGACATAGAGACAGTTATAAAAACTGGAGTCTTCATGATGAGGAAACATGCCCGTCTAACTCTATCAAGGTCACCTAAGATTTGCAAAGAAGTGGGTCAGGTTTGAATCCCAGCTTCCCTACTTACCAGCTCTCTGATGTGAACTTCTCCCATGTTTGTTACCTGCAAAATTAGACGACACCTGTAGAGTGCTTAGCACAAGGTCTGGGACTCGAGGTAAACAATATTTTCTTATCCACATACCAAATATAAATATTGTTATTAGATTCATATATGAAGCCACTGGAAATGAGTGCTAGAGTTCCTCCAGGGAACTTTTAAGAGTGAGCTGAGAATTCAGCACCACTAACCTGTGGACCATTTCTGAAGGGGCAGTGTGACAGCAGAACAATTTCCAAGTGGAATTTTGTTGATGTTGAAAAAGCAATTGGACGTGAACATAGAAAAAAATATTTGGAAATTTCTATATTTTAAAAATGTAGTGCAAATACCCAAAGGAAGTTTAATTTTTTTGCTGAAGTTATATTCTGACTTTAAATGAAATGAGTTAATTTTCATTGTGTCCATCATTGTACCCCTGATGCTGGAGCCAACAATGCCATGACTCGCTGGAAGCAGCTGTACAAGTGGAGGGATTGAGCCTTGTGTTGCTAACTGTTGCAACTTGTGATTTTTTTCTCTGTGAACATGGATCTCCTCTAAACATGAGTATTTTATTTTGCCATAATACTATATCTACCTAAATGTCGAATGTATTTTTTTCTCCAGCTGCATCAAAAACAATTTTCAATCTCCCCATACCCCTTTTCTTCTGGTGCTGTTCTCTGCCACTTACGCAAGGGACCAGAGCACAGATCCTAAGAGTGCCAGGAACAGGCAACAAAGTCTCAACATGTTCCTGGTGTGGGAGGAGATTCTATGGGTGAGTTGTCTGCCACATCTGGGGGAGGCCTGGATGATGAAAGATGGCAGCTGTAATGATGAGAGAGGAGCCAGCTTCTGGGAGGCAGGGGCAGGCTTCTCTCTTACTCCTTCCACCTCTATCCAAATACCATTTGTGTGAATCAGCTGCCACTTGGCTTTAAGGGACGTCACTGCCAGATGCTCCCGTTCCCCCTTCTTGAAGCAACAGCCACCGCCCTTCTGACCCCTCCACATGCAGTAGAAGTCTTCTAGGGCCACTTAATGGTCATGGGGTGCAAGCATAGCAGCAGGCTTTTTTCTTCCACAGAATGTGTACAGGAGTTTCATAGTGACAATGAAGGAATTGGAGCAGTCCCTGGTTGCGTCAGTGAGCATCTTTGCTGGCACTCTCTCTAACTTTGTTGAGCACTTCATGTGCGTGGGACTCTGTGCTAAATGCGTTATGTGCAACATCTCATTTATCCTCACAGCAACCCTGTGAAATGGCTACTGGGCATCTCTGGGCTTCGCAGCTGTGGCAAAGGGGAAAGGAATTCAAACTCCAGGTCCACTGTGCTGTATGACTTTCCCTTTATAAACAATTACTCCAGAATGGGAGGTCCTGGAAGATCCTGCTGTTTGTAGGTCTGAATATGGAGGTTGTAGAAGACCCTGAAGAGTCCTGAGATTAGGGTCTCTTCCCAGCTATTGGAAGTGTGAAAGTTGTCAAAGTAATCATCTTCATTTTTCTTTAAGTACCTCTTATCTCCCTGAATACACACATTGTTTACTGTGGCTCCCATACTGCAATGCCCTTTTCCTGAATAAGCACCACTTTCTTTTAGAGAGGCTTTCTCTGTTGGTTATTTAGGTTGACAGAGGGCAACAGCAGTGATACAGAGGAGCCTCTGAGACACCCGGATTTCCCTTAGAACTCTCCCATTCTCTCTGGGGAAACAGCCAGTGAGGACACCAGGTCAGAAATGACAGCCTCCTGCAATGGCTGAGCAAGTAGCCTTCAATTCTGGCACTTGCTGCGGCCAATACTTCCATGTCTTTCCTTGTGGCTGCGGCCGGTTGCTCCAGGGTGCTCTGCCTCATCCATCTGATATTGCCCTAAATATTTCTTGAATGGCACCTTAGTGTATGGACTCCATCTTATTGTTCTGCCGGTACCTGAGTCATGGCGGTGACTCAGCTGGCCCATGGTACTGCCCTCTGACTGCTGTGCCTTGCTCATAATGCCTCTCATAACCTGAATTAGTGCCCAAGAGAGCCTCCATTGGCACATGTTTGCAGGATTTTCCATTCTATACAGTCTTCCACTGTCCCTTTCCTCTTCCTCATATGCCATTTTGAAGCAACTTGGAAATTCTAGTGAGCTTTCTAGAAAGCTATAAACTCGGTATCTCTGTCCAGGTTCCCCTCATCTGTCTTACCCTTGTGGCTGCCCTCCTGACGGTTAAACTAGATTCACAAGATATTGAGATGCATGAACTGCAATATATCATTTGGGATTTTTTTGTTGCAATCAGTGGAAACTATTCCTGGCTAACTTAACACAATGAAAAGGAGACAGATGGAGGGAAGGAGGGAGGAAGAGAGAGAAAGAGTGAGAAACAGAATCAACCCCAACAATTTCCTATTCTTCTGTCATTCTACCCAATATTTAATTTTTAGGAAACAGATAGGTCTAGCTTGAACCGTGTGTCCTTGATAGGAAACTTTTGCTGACTATCCCACCAAGACTGCATGCCACGGGGATAGGACATGGCCTAAAGGAGCCATTAGAAGAAGGGAAAGTGAGTGCTACACAGGGAACAACAAACACCCACCAAAGGAAAGCGGAGGTTCCTTGAGGACCTCCTAAAGCCTCTCTAGACGTCACCGTGAAGCCTTCTCTTAGATTTAGTTTCTTCATAGCCTAGAGTTCAGCTTGGGTCATGAAAATAATTTTCTCTAACAACAAAAGTTTCTCATGAATCATAGTTTTAACTCAAATTTTAATGAGGCCAGACATTTGTTTTTATGTATTTATTTATTTTTATTTTTAACTTTTATTTTAAGTTCAGGTTTACATGTGCAGGTTTGTTATATAGGTAAACTCATGTCACGGGGGTTTGCTGTATGGATTATATTTCATTATCCAGGTTCCAAGCCTAGTACCCATTAGTTATTTTTCCTGATCCTCTCCCTTCTCCCACTGTCTACCCTTTGATAGGCCCCAGTGTCTGTTTTTCCCCTGTACGTTTTCATGTGTTCTCATCATTTGGCTCCCATTTATAAGTGAGAACATGTGGTATTTCGTTTCCTGTTTCTGTGTTAGTTTACTAACGATAATGGCCTCCAGCTTCATCCATGTTCCTGCGATGGACATGATCTCGTTTTTTTTTACGGCTGCATAGTACTCCATGGTGTATATGTACCATGTTTTTTTATCCAGTGTATCATCGATGGGCATTTAAGTTTATTCCATATCTTTGCTATTGTGAATAGTGCTGCAGTGAACATACATGTGCATGTGTCTTTATGATAGAACAATTTGTATTCCTTTGGGTTTATACCCAGTAATGAGATTGCTGGGTTGAATGGCATTTCTGTTTTTAGCTCTTTGAGGAATTCCCACACTGTTTTCCACAATGGTTGGACTAATTTACACTTCCACCAACAGTGTATAAGCGTTTCTTTTATTCCACAACCTCACCAGCACATGATATTGTTTGATTTTTTAACAGTAGCCATTCTGACTAGTGTGAGATAGTATCTCATTGTAGTTTTGATCTGCATTTTTTAATGATTGGTGATGTTGAGCTTTTTTCATATGTTTATTGATCGCATGTATGTCTTCTTTTGAAAGGTGTCTGTTCATGTCCTTTGCCCACTTTTTAATGGAGTTGTGGAACTGTACGGTGGCATCTGTGTTCTGTGAAGAGTCTAGAAGAAGAAGGACTTTTAAGAATCTGTGCACTTCAGGGCCACATGCAGAGGATTTTTGTATATCCTGTTAGTTTAGATAGTATTAAAACGTTTAGACTGACATACTTAAGGCTGAGCCTCTATACCTCTCTTAAGTGTCCATGCACATTCATTTGCATTAGTACTTTTGCGTGGGGGCAGGTATGGCCTTGTGCTAAGAAACTATTAGACAACTGCCCTTCCTGAAGTCTCCAAGGATCTTGGCTATGGGTCTCTCCATCTCTGTTTTTATGAAGGCCCCTGTTTTCCCAAGCTAATTATAAAAAGGTCTCTTTAACAGCTTTTTTTTCCAGCTTTCTTCATCTGAGAAGGCAAGTACAGCAAGGTCTTATGTGCTGTATGTGTTGTCTCCTCTGAGGTAGCTATGGAATCTTGTTCTAACACATTTCATTAGAAAGTGAAATTTAGGCCGGGTGTTATTATACGTGGCTCACACCTGTAATCCCACCACTTTGAGAGGCCAAGGCAGGTGGAGTGCTTGAGTCCAGGAGTTCAAGACCAGCCTGGGCAACATGGCAGAACCCCATCTCTATATAAAACACAAAAAATTAGCTGGGACTGGTGGTATGTGCCGGTATCCCAGCTACTTGGGAGGCTGCAGTGGGAAGATCACTTGAGCCCAGGAGTTAGAGGCTACAGTAAGCCATGATTGCACCACTGCACTCCAGCCCAGGTGACAGAGTGAGACCCTGTCTCAAAAACAAAAAGAAAAAGAAAGTGGAATTGAGCATAAATTTTAAATTCTACTAAGGGTCCTCATTAGTGAGATGTCACCCTACACCTCATTGTAGGGTGGTTTCACCTAACAGGCATGAGCTTTAGGGCAGCCTCCTTGGGAGGCTCTAGGTTCTTTCATGGACCTTTTACAGTCCATCCCTCTCTATCTTTCTGGCCATTTTCAACTGTTAGTTTCACATAAGTCTCTCTCTTCACTTCGTACATCAAAATTTTGGCCCCTCCACAAACCTGACTGATCTCTGACTGTGTGTGTGTCCTTGACCTTCTGACTTTTTGTGTGTGCTGTTCTAATAATACCAATCTACCTACTCTCCCCTGCAGGTGAATACCTTCTTGCACCCCCTGCTTTCTCCCTCCTTGTAATGGTTAATATTGAGGGTCAACTTGATTGGATTGAAACATGCAAAGTATTGTTCCTGGGTGTGTCTGTGAGGGTGTTGCCAAAAG